>NC_000001.11:58341713-58493228 GCF_000001405.40 Homo sapiens
GAGGCAACATGATATACTGGAAAGGACTTAGAATTAGAGTTAGATGACCCTTACTTTCTGCTACACACTAGCTCCTCACAAGAAATTATTTCTAAGGTGATGCGGGCAGATAGTTAATGATTATTTTATTACCACTTTCTCTAGTCTGGTTAACAGTGTTTACCTCTGTCCTGATAGGCTGTAAAGAACACAGTAGGGTCTACATATTTCAGTTTCACCATTGTATTTCCAGCATCTAAGATATATAGCTTGAAAAATGGTAGACACACAACAAATAAACATTTTATTGAATGGAAGGGAGCCTCAGTAAGTCACTTCCTCTGCCTTGGCCTCACAACTTCCATTCATAAAATTAAAAAGCTGTGCATGATCTGCAAGATGACTGCCCAGCTCTGAGATTCTCTAACATTTAATTCCGAAATGCCAAGAGAGACAGTGTGAGTTCCACTGTTTTGGAATGTCTAGATACATGAAACTACTTAAAGACAGTAGCACTTGAGTTTCTAGCAAACTAAAGCCATGATGATAAGATATTTGTAAGCAGAGGAAGCCAGAACTCAGGTGGAATCTGGGGAACTTTGGAGGGAGATGAACTTGGAAGGGCCTATAAGACTAAAAGGTGTCCCAGTGAATTGGTCAGCTTGGATTCACAACCTCAGACTGTGTGGATTTACCATCAATAGGCAATGCCCGTGGGCTGCAGTGATCAGCAACATCCTAATGAGAATGTGGATAAATCAATAATTAGGGTCTGAGCTAAATTAGCAAAATACAGCAACATAACTATTATCCATTCAGTGTTCATTATATATCATCCTTTCTTCTGAACTCCAAGCTCATATACTTAACTGATCACTGGACATTTCCACATGGATGTCACGCTGACACCTCAAGCTCACTCAATGTACCAAAGCTGAATTCAACATCTTTTGGCTCTCAATTTCATTGTTTCTCCAATGTACCCTATATCAAAGTTCATAATCCAAACAAAAATCCTGGAGGCATCCTAGACCTCTCTCAATCCCTTTCCATCAAAACATATTGATTTCACCTCCTTTTTAATCTCTCCAACTTCCTTCTTTCCCCTATCGCCACCCCATAGACCCAGCTTGGGCCCTCATAACTGTTTGTTTTTGTAACTCTCTCTTAAATGATCTTTTGGAGTCTAACATTGGTTGTTCAAATTTGGTGTCTCCACACTACACCCCAAGTGTTCCCTCTAAGATTAAAATCTGGTCAGGTCCCTCCCTGCATAAAGCCTGTTCATGCCTCCTTTGCTTATAGGCTTATGTCCAAACTTCTTATCTTGCCATTCACCATTTGGCCACTGCCTGCCTCCCTAGCTTCATTCATCAGTAGTCTCCTATTTGTCTCAAATGTTCCATCCAGCCCCAACTCCCTTTTCCACAGGTCTGCAGGTCTATAATGCTGGGGGTGACAGTCCATGGTTCTGACTCATCTAGCAGTAGCTGCTAGAGTTTTCTCTACCACTGGGATGCTGAGCTCTTGTCTCTATAACTGGAACATATAGATGGATGGATGGATGGATGGATGGATGGATGGATGGATGGATAGATGGATGGAGAAAAGGAAAACCAGGGAGAAATGTGTGCACTCTAGGTAGTTCCTTAGACTTACACTTTTGAAATGGAGCAGAATGGTTTTCAGGGGCATTCAAGACTCACCAAATCTGAAAGAGAAAAAAAAGCCACACGAGGAGTCACAGATCTGAAGAGTGTGAACATAGACAGCCCTGGGTTAGAGTGTGGTAGCACAAGGTATCAGCTTACTGCTGCAAGGGACACTATAGAGAAAGTTTCAACACAAATAGATGGAAGAGTCAAGTTTGGCTGACAAAAAGTTGGGAGGGAGAAAGACAGAAAGACCCAGAATTCATGTTGTGCTGCGTGAAGAGCAGTGAGCAAAAAGTTAAACCACATTGCCAGCGGCATAGGCTAACACACATCACTTAACCTCTCTAATCTATTTGAGTCATTTACTCTATTTCTCATCTTGTCTTCTCTATTGAAAGAGAGGAGCTGAAATTATGTGCTTTCTAGGGTGGTTGTTTGAGTATAATAAGATAATGATATGAAATGCTTTGTGAGTTGTCAAGTGCTGTAAATACATGGGTTCTGACCATTGTTAAGAAATAGGAGAGGAGAAACATTGCTGTTTAACCTGTGTCCTTCTTTGGGACTCTGTGAGAGCACAGAATGCATTGCTGACTTGTAGTGCAGACCTTCAGTACTTGTCACTGTACCTGACATATAGTGGGCACTCAACAATGTCTCCTTAATGATAAAATGACATTAAAACAGGAGGAGAGACATTTTCATGAAGAGGCTTTGGAATGAGACCAACCTGGATTTGAATCCTGCTATGCCACTTCCTACCTATGTGACCTTAGGCAAGTTACTTAACCTCTCTGAGTCTCGCTGTTCTCAACTGGCAAGACAAGCAGAGCTGCTCAGCTCAGAAGGTTGTTGTTGAGGATTGCACTAATTAATGTTATAGCAAGGGAGCTCCTGAACACATAGCAGGTGTCTTAAAGTGACCCTTGTGTTAAAGAATAAGGAAGATCCTCAAGCATCAGTGATTAAAGGGGTAAGAGAGGAAATTAGTGGTCCAGTGAAGAAAATTGTGATGGTATTGCTGACAATCACTTCATTTTGAACTGTGCCAGGGACATAATTGGTATAACTCAATTTCCTATCTGTTGGGAGTGTGGTGTGAGCTTCAGATGAAACGAGGGCTCATATTGACAACAGAGAATGAGAAGGCATTTGGAAGAATAAAAAGAATGCAGACCTGAGCTGTCTCACCCTCCACCCCCTGCCTCAGTCTTCTCTTCTACAAAATGCGGAGAAGAACTAGATAATCCGAAAAGCCCCTTCTGGATATAAAACTCTGCATATCAAGAAGAAACATAATGGTGGGCTGAGTTCAGTGGACTTGAACTAGAAACTTTTCTATTCTTTTGGCAGATGAAACTGTGTGTTGGTTTAAATACCATTGAGAGGTTAACTAACATCACTGAGAGCCTGTTTTCTCATTTGTAACAGGGGAATATTACTGCCTAGCTTGCAGGATTGCTGCAAGGGTTAAATGAGGTGATAGGCATCTAATGATGGGCACAAGATAGGCTCTTATTGAATACTCAAAATATTATTCTCTATCTTTTTCTCACTACCTTTCCCAAATTCAGCTAGGTCTTTCAGCCTCTCTGTTATATGGCCATTGTAATAGGCTTCTAACTGGCATCCCAGCCTAGCACCTATAGATGCATTTGCTCATCAATGAAGTGAAAAGAGGAAAAGGACCCTTTCCACCCCTTCAGCCCACCTTCCACTGGGCTGCCAGAATTAACCTCAAAAGCACAGTTCTGATCTTATCAGTCTGCTGGTCAAAAGACTTTCATTGTTTTTCATTACCCTGAAACACTGACCACATCTCTTAGCCCACAATTTAAGGCCCTCCCAGACCTTAGCCTACCTCAGTAGTCTCATTTCGCCACTTCTTGGAACAACCCATTTCCCAGCTGAATCAAAATCAACTGCAAGCTCATTTTTTCTACCACCCCCATGCCACCAATAACATCCTTCAATGGAAAAGAATTATGTCTGCTTTGGAATACTGAGAGCCACACAAGGAAGTTTCACCACAGTGCAGTCCAAATCAGAATGTGCTACATCAAAGTGGAAACATTTCTGCATTATTTGTTTTTCTCCTGAAATCAATATTCCCTCAGTAACAAATTCAGCAGGGATGCCTCCATTCCCTGGTCTTCGGGCTTCCCTTAACAGAACAATGTGTAACTTTCCCCATTTCTCTGGCTCTAATGGGGGCTGTCAGGTATCCTCCTCCTGGAATCCTGGCAAAGGATGCATAAATCCAACGGGAAGATTTGCATGACTGTCACATTTTCATTCTAATCAGCAGCCCCTTCCCCCACCTTCTCTGTACTTAAGAGGCCAGAGATACTCCAATCCCCTCTCCTGAGCTTCCCTCGTGCCTAAGAGGACCTCTGGCCTCTGCTTCCTCACCCACCCCCATCCCAGGAGGTTGCAGCCCCTCATTATATAAGGAGGCTCCTGCTAGGAGGTTCATTTCATCTATCAGTGCTGAGTTTCACCTCTGACCTTAGGCTTCCTTGGGGTTATAATGTGCCCTGCCTCCCTCCCCGTCCTGGGTCAATTCTATAGATTTTTTTCTGCTGCCAAGAGCAGCTTCCAGGGACAGGAGAGATTGCCTGCCTCAGCTCAGAGTGAGACACTGAGGAGAAATGGGCCTTTTAACAACTGCAGTTCAGTGATGAGAAAGCGATGGGACTCCATCACCATCACTCAGACCCTCCTCCAAGCCCTTTGCACTTACTAGGTGAAACGGAAAACATTTTGATTAGGCCTAACTGGATGATAGATACGGCAGTCCGGCCCATACAGACACTAAATCCATTTCCTGCTGCAGATGAATGGGCAGGCGGCCTGCAGCCTGATCAAAATTTTCTTTGGCTAGAAGCGGAAATGAAGGCCCCTGTGCCATCACCCACTGAACTCCTCACAATAGCTATTTATTCAGCTTCTATGAGAGGATCCTGTCCTCTGCCTAGGGTCCTCATATTGTATTTGCAACGGTGATGTGTGCCGGTGCTCGTTATTTCATAATATTGTGGAATCAGAGCTGTAAAAATGACTTTGAGGGTCATTAAGTCAGTCGGGTTCAATTTGCTTTTGTTTTATAGCAGCAGAACCATTTTTTGCAAATAACATCCTACATGGTAGCTCAATACAGGAAATGGACAAAAATGGAGTTTCTCTGGATAAGTAATCTTCTTCAGAAATGTGGGGTTCCAGAAAAAGCCCTTTGAAATGCAATGATTCATTTTAATCATGAAGTATCTATAAGCATCTGTGCTGCCACAGCCAGATATGTGATCACTAGCTTAATTAGTTCTAATGATGAGAAGCTCATTACATTACAAATAATATCATTCCACTAACAAAGGACAAGTCATGTAACCTCAATGGACCTCAGGATCCTCATCTAGAAATAAGAGAAAATAATAGCAACTACCTGCTAGAAGGAAACGATGAAACACCATGTGTGAAATGCTTAAAACTCATGAATTCTGTGGCCACACTGGCGAAGCAAGCTACAGGTATAAGTGAAAGGACTAAACTTAGAGTCAGATTGCAATTCAAACTTGACTCCACCATCTATTAGCTGTTTGACTTTGGGCTACTTACCTAACCTCTCTGTGCCTCAACTGTATGGTCCATTTTATCATATGACTCATTGGGTTGCTGCCAAGCTTAAATACATGATAGAAAAGGTACTTTATAAAGCATAAGAAATGATTATGGGTTTGTTTTGTTTTGTTTTGTTTTGTTTGTTTGTTTGTTTGTTTTGAGACAAAGTTTCGCTCTTGTTGCCCAGACTGGAGTGCAATGACACAATCTCGGCTCACCACAACCTCCGCCTCCCAGGTACAAGCAATTCTCTTGTCTCAGCCTCCCAAGTAGCGTGCATTACAGGCATGTGCCACCATGTCCGGCTAATTTTTTTGTATTTAGTAGAGATGGTGTTTCACCATGTTAGTCAGGCTGGTCGCAAACTCCTGACCTCAGGCGATTCACCCGCCTCAGCTTCCCAAAGTGCTGATTGCAGGCATGCGTGACTGCACCCAACCGATGGTTTTAATGAATAGGGTGCACATAGGAAGCCAGCTTCAGCCACCTTGACCTTGGTGGGAGATTGTCAATTACCACTTCAAGATCAAAAAATGCCTGAGCCACCTGGGAAAGACAATCCTTGGAGGTTTATTTCAGTGCTGTGGATCCCAGTAATGTGTCACAAGGTGGAGGAGAACCACCTTTGTGCACAGTGCTAGGAGCTTGATATGCAGGAAATTATTCAACTCCTCTGCACTCAGATCAATTCTTGCACTTCCCTGATTTACTCTTTATCACAGGGAGGCCAAACCCTGCAAACAACATTCCAAGGTTCTCTTGCCAAAAGACCTCACCTCTGTTCAGTTCAGCTGACAGCAGGCAGTAGAAAGAGACTGGAAGAAGGGAGGGAAAGAGAAGCTAACTATTTCTCACCTTGCCCCCTTGGCTTGAGCAGTGGCTGCTTCTCCTCCAGGTTCTAGCTCCCAACAGTCAGCCCCTCAAACCATGATCTGAGCTCCTGCAAGGCAGCCTTACCACTAACTCCGGGTCTTGCCTGACTCCCCTGGGAATGACTATCCTCCAAGGGTCCAGCTCTCACCAGGCCCTGATGCCAGGGCTCTTAGCATTGCCTCATCTCTTTGTACCTGCAGCTCTGGAAGAGGTAGTGGCTTCTTATACTTGCTAATGCTAGGATGACCTCACCTTCCCTCATTGCTCTGTTGGTCCTTTTGCCATTTTGTGACCAATTATTGAACCAACCAACATGGGACCTATTTTCTCCAAACCCCTGGCAAATACACCTCCTAACAACTCTAGGAGGTTGTGATTTTTCCTTATTTACCTTTGAATGAGCAGAGTCTCAAAGAAGCTAAATAATGTACTCAAGATTCAAAAAAATGAATGACTGAACTGCATCCAAACTCAGCCTTCTAAGTCAGTCACTGCTTTTTCCAACAAACCGCAAGCCAGTAAAGAGACCAGTAAAACAACATGAGGCTAGAAGTCTCTAAATGCTGGAGAAATTCATGGCTGTAGTTACAAAAAAAAAAGATGATTTTGTTTGAGGTTTCAGTTTTCTTGATGTTGCTAGCAGATGCTCTATGTTTAAGACTCAAATTTGCTTGTAAAAAGTAGTGATAGAATAAAAAGAAAATTTAAGACTCAGTAGACTCTAGCTTGGGTCTGGCCCTAACTTGGCTATTAGACTCCAGGTAACACTTTATCCTCCTGTGGCCCTGATTTATCCATCTTTAAAATGAAGTTTTAGAACTCAATAATTCAACATTCTGATGCTGTGATTCTAATTATGTGATTTTATACTGACTTTTACTTCACCCTACAATGAGATTTTACACACGTTGGGAAGTTTTTTTGGCACATGAAATGCTAAATTAGAGTAAATAAATGAAGTCTTTGGCATGCCACTCATGAAAGGTTTTTAGATCCTGGATTAAAATGAACAAAGGAAGACTTGGCAGGATACTTCAAAGAGGTGTCTGACCCTGATTTAGATTGTCAAGATGTCATTAGGAAGATTGGACTGCTTGGGGCTGACTGTAGTCCATCTGGAAAAGTTTCATGAAAAAGGTGAGCTCAGAACACAGCTTTGAGAGAGAAGAGTGTCTGGCTCCCTGCCTCCGCCTGCTGTCCCATCCCCACTTCAGTCTTTGAAAACTTACTCTGACCCTATTCAGAGAAATCTGTAAGCCTAAGAGCTTACTGGCACATGACATCAGGATGCTGATCACTCGGACCTTCTTCTTGGCTTGGGCTTGGTTTGAGTATCTGAGCTCCTGGGTTGCTCCACAGCCTGAGCCCCTGCTCTTCTCTTAGTTCCATGAAATTGCAAACAGTCTGGTTTCCTCAGTGCCTGAGATACTGAAGTACCTGTATCTGAATCATCTCCCCACATCCCAGGATGCAAGTCACTGAGCATGAACCAGTGCATAGCGGGGAAAAGCATGTGAGCAGCAATTATTGCTGGTAGCTATTTGAGCCCTGTCCAAAAGAGAAGTTCTCTAGTTCAACATTTTGACTTGGCTCCTTTTATTATTATTATTATTATTATCATTATTACTATTATTATGATATTTTAAGTTCGGGGTACATGTGCAGAATGTGCAGGTTTGTTATATAGGTATGCACATACCATGGTGGTTTGCTGCACCCATAAACCCTTCATCTACATTAGGCATTTCTCCTAATGCTATCCCTCCCCTAGACGCCCACCCCTCGACAGGCCCTGGTGTGTGATGTTCCCCTCCCTGTGTCCATGTGTTCTCATTGCTCAACTCCCACTTATGAGTGAGAACATACAGTGTTTGGTTTTCTGTTCTTATGGTAGTTTGCTGAGAATGATGGTTTCCAGCTTCATCCATGTCCCTTCAAAGGACATGAACTCATCCTTTTTGTGGCTGCATAGTATTCCATGGTGTATATGTGCCACATTTTCTTTATCCAGTCTATCATTGATGGGCATTTAGGTTGGTTCCAAGTCTTAGCTATTGTGAACAGTGCCACAATAAACACACGTGTGCATATGTCTTTATAGTAGAATGATTTATAATCCTCTGGGTATATACCCAGTAATGGGATTGCTGGGTCGAATGGTATTTCTGGTTCTAGATCCTTGAGGAATTGCCACACTGTCTTCCACAATGGTTGAACTAATTTACACTCCCACCAAATGTGTAAAAGCATTCCTATTTCTCCACATCCTCTCCAGTATCTGTTTTTTCCTGACTTTTTAATGACTGCCATTCTAAGTGGCATGAGATGGTATCTCATTGTGGTTTTGATTTGCATTTCTCAATAACAGTGATGATGATCTTTTTTTCACGTGTTTGTTGGCTGCATAAATGTCCTCTTTTGTGAAATGTCTGCTCATATCCTCTGCACACTTTTTGATGGGGTTGTTTGTTTTTCTCTTGTAAATTTGTTTAAATTCCTTGTAGATTCTGGATATTAGCCCTTTGTCAGGCGGATAGATTGTAAAAAATTTTCTCCGGTTCTGTAGGTTGCCTATTCACTCTGATTACAGTTTCTTTTTGCTGTTCAGAAGCTCTTTAGTTTAATTAGATCCCATTTGTCAATTTTGGCTTTTGTTGCCATTGCTTTTGGTGTTTTCATCATGAAGTCTTTGCCCATGTCTATGTTCTGAATGGTATTGCCTAGGTTTTCTTCTAGAGTTTTTATGGTTTTAGGTCTTACGTTTAAGTCTTTAATCCATCTCGAGTTAATTTTTGTATAAGGTGTAAGAAGGGGTACAGTTTCTGTTTTCTGCATATGCCTAGCCAGTTTTCCCAACCCATTTATTAAATAGGGAATCCTTTCCCAATTTCTTGTTTTTGTCAGGTTTGTCAAAGATCAGATGGTTGTAGGTGTGTGGTGTTATTTCTGAGGCCTCTGTTCTGTTCTATTGGTCTATATAACTGTTTTGGTACCAGTACCATGCTGTTTTGGTTACTATAGTCTTGTAGTATAGTTTGAAGTTAGGTAGCATGATGCCTCCAGCTTTGTCCTTTTTGCTTAGGTTTGTCTTGGCTATGCAGGCTCTTTTTTGGTTCCATATGAAATTTAAAGTAGTTTTTTCTAATCCTGTGAAGAAAGTCAGTGGTAGCTTGATGAAACTAGCACTGAATCTATGAATTACTTTGGGCAGTGTGGCCATTTTCATGATAATTGATTCTTCCTATCCATGAGCATGGAATGTTTTTCCATTTGTTTGTGTCCTCCCTCATTTCTTTGAGCAGTGGTTTGTAGTTCTCCTTGAAGAGGTCCTTCATGTCCCTTGTAAGTTGTATTCCTGGGTATTTTATTCTCTTTGTAGCAATTGCAAATGGGCTCGTTTAAGGGAACAGATATCTATTTAAAGAAATGGACTCACATTTTTGGCTCATAAACCCATGCATGGTTACAACCACTACTTTCAAAGAGTCAAATATGTGAAACAGCCCGGAAAGATCAAAAGGGATTCATAGGCTCAAATATCTCATGTCCTTCTCACTCCCATCTGCAAGAAGGGGCCCTGATAGATTTTGACCATAAGATTCAAGAACTCTCCATTTCATAGCCTAATGATCAGTGGGAGTGAAGGAGGTGGAAGGAGATGGAAGAAGAACAGACTTCAAACACATTGAATTGTGTTTGAACCTTGGCTCGGTAGATGGCTAAGTGTTGGCCTAGAGTAAGTTCTCCAGCCTCTCTGAGTCTCAGTTTCCTCATTGGTAAGGTGAGAGGTCAATGTACTCTTCATGCATGCAGAGCCAAGAAGACGCCCATGCCAATCTAGAAAATGTGATAGATTATCCCTTGGGGCAGTAACATCACTGGGAATGTAACAAAAAGGAAAATTTCAGATTTACCAGGATTCCTGTAAGGTTAAAAGATCAATGTTAATCTTTGCAGGGAGATGGGGGAGAGGGGTGTGGAGAGGAGGCAGCTGTTGAGACCCTTAAGAAGCCTGTTGAGCCATACTAGATGAATGCTTTTCTAAGGACGGTGAGTCTAGGTAACCTCAGAGTTGATATTTTCAGGGAAGTTGGAGTAGGATGGGAATGCAAGTTAAGGGCCAGAGTGAAATGACTGAATTGCACAGGATAAATCAGGAGCCACTGGCCACTTCTGCCACTGGGTCCTCTTCTTTACTCCTCCGCCATGAAGCCCTAGCCTCTCCTTTAAATCCATCAGCTTGAAGGCCTGCTCAGGGCATCCTGTTATCTCAGACATGTCTCAGTTGGCCTGACTTGCATATGTAAGCACTTCCTACAGTGCACATGCATAGGAAGCACTGATTTTCTCTCCAGAAATCCCTATTTTTCTCTTATGCCTAGATGCCTCCCCTGCCTCCTCTAAATTAACCTGTGCTGAGGACATAATGTAGGGAAATGGCAATCCTGTGTATATGCCAGAGTCTTCTTCAAAATACTGTGCCTGAAATCATGTGTGCAACTCAACCTTCCTATTAGTAATAATAATAAATGTATATTGAATATTTTAAAACGCTGATGAGGAAGTAGAATTAGTCACCTGCTAATATGGTCAGACTCTAAGTACATAGCCATCCGGCATGTATCTAACATTTGTAGAGAAAGGGACCACCATTTAGGGATGAGTAAAGTTTAGAGATTTGATCAAAGGCAACAGCTAATAGGGGTAGGTCTAATTTTCCAAACTCCACTCTTTCCACCTCAGTCCAGCACAGTAAAAATAAACTATCGGAAAAGTGGGTCTAAACACAATCAATACATTACACAACTCCAGGGGGTGCTATTCACACTGTGGTCTACTGCTATGGCCTGAATGTTTGTGCACTCCCAAAATTCATATGTTGAAATCCTAACCCCTAAAGTGATGATATTGGGTGGTGGGGCCTTTGAGAGGTGATGAGATCATGGGAATGAAGCCTGATGAATGGGATCAGTGCTCTTATAAAAGAGAGCCCAGAGACTCCCTCTCCTTCTGTCATGTAAGGATACAGCAAAAAGAGAGCTGTGTATGAACCAGGAAGTTGGCCTTCACCAGACATTGAATCTGCTGGTGCCTTGATCTTTAACTTCTCAATCTCCAGAACTGTGAGAAGTAAACTTTTGTTGTTTATAAGCCACCTAGTTTACGGTATTTTTGCTTAGCCCAAACGGACTCAGACACCTACATAAATGCCACTGTCTGGAGTTATGCCACGCTGCCGAATCGAACCTCCACCAAGAAACCCTCATGCCACTTTTCCCAAAGGTCCCCTTCTTTATTTGTGTCCTCTATCATAAACTCTGTGTTTTGAAATATTTTTTTCTGATCAAATAGACTGAATTTTTAAAGGACCAGTAAATTATTTTCCCATCATTTTAATGAATCAAAATACACTAAAACAGCCACTGACATTTTGATCACCAGGAGATAACCACGGTTACTGTTTTGAGTTGATTTCATTCCAGCCAAACACACATAGATTTGACATTTGAGTTAGCCTGTGAAACCTTAAAACAGGTGTTTCTTTTCCCTTAGGCCTTCTGATATATTAAGAATAACTAAAGAAGCTGACTGCTACCAGGACATTAATGCTTTACAGATTGTATTAGTCTACAATATTCTGCTTTAGGAACCACAGACTTCCCTGTACCAAAATGGCAAGGTTAGTTAGTTGTTTATCGAGTTTAAAATTAGTGGATGGGGAAAAGAAAAGAAAAACAGAAGTCAAGGTCTTTGTAGAAAATACCACAAAACACATACTCAAAAAGATTTTCCATGTTTCAATTAGATTTGTTTACTTGAGCAGAATAGAATGAAAAGCAGGAAAATGCCAACAATTCTGCATTCTTCTTTATTCATCAAAAAGGAAAAAGTGAAGAAGAAATGGAATTACAATGTGTTTTATCTACTATGTGCAAGGAACTATAAAAGGATAATGATCACAAGAACTTTTCTTGTTTAATAAAAAAAAAGAAAACTGAAGTTTCATTTAGTTAAGTAAATTGTCACATATCTAATAAGTGATAAAGCCAGGATTTGAATTCAAGATTTCCTGGTTGAATGTCTAGGTGCATTTTTGGTGCATTATGCCATTCTACCTCCCTGCGAAGAAAACAATTCAAAGAACCATTTCCAAGCTCTTGCTTTGTGTCAGGCATTCATTTTCACTAATTGAACAAATATTTACTGAGGCTCTAGTATGCCCCAGATGCTCAGCCTGATACCTCTGGTAGCTCATGGTCTAATGGAAGAAGCAAGCATGTAGCTCAGGGAGACTCTGATAGGGATGTAATGACGGTGGGAATAAACTGATGGAGGGGTGCAGAAAAGAGAGCTTTCTTCCTTGTTGTTTTTTTCACTATGGTTATCTCAGTGCTCCCAGATCTACGAGAAAGGATGGTCAGACCTATTCGAATTCAAGCGAGGAATGACACTTGGGACACATCAACACGGGCTAAGGTCCCATTCCTTGTAACATATTATAAAACATGTAGCACATAAACCTGCCCCATCAAGGGAACCAGTGTAATTGGTGCACCTTCTCTCGTAGCATTTAAGGTGTTATCTCTATAAATACAGTGCATTTTGCTTTAATAAAAAATGAATTTTCCAGAACAGTGACAGTATTGACCTTACATATTATCCAAATAGAAATTGTAATGAAACAAGTCGAACAGTGAGTAGTTATAATAGATATGCAAATATTGGTCTTTTCTTAAAGGTCTTTCGGCCTACTCACACGTGTCTCTTATGTGTCTGAGAGGGTGGATTCAGCCTGCATTTATAATCTAGGAGGACACAGAGGAGGAAGGGAGAGGGAGGAGGGGAAGTCTGTCAAACAATCACAGAGGATAAGAATCCAGGAAGATTGTGCTAGAGTCCATAGCTTCAGAAATGGGCTTTGGGGTAACTGTTCTGTGTTCAGTGTGTTCACATGTGCAGTATCATTTTATCCACACCTGTGACACAGGTATGGCTGCTGTTATTTTATGAATGAGAAAACCAAGGCTCATAAACATGTGTAACTTGCCCAAAATCACACAGCTGACAAATAGCATCATTAGACTCTGTGCTCCAATCTTCCCCCTCTAAGTTAGTTGATTTTTCAGCTCAAATTTACCTGGACGAGGTCCAGCTATAATCATCAAACGGAATCTATACATTTATTTCCTGAATAACTCAATGGATATTTATTGAACGTCTCCTGTGTGCTGTTCTGGGTGTTATAAGAAACTTAAAAAAGCTGAGAAATGGTTTCTGATCTAAAGAGTTCACAGGTTGTCAAAGAGATGTCTACAGACTTCAGAGACTTAAAAATGCAATTGAGGGAAGCAAACACACAACTCAACTCTCCTGAATACAACCCTACCATGAGCCTTTTTCCAAACTCACCAGCCAGTCTCCATCTGTAAAGTGGCACAGCTTTGTTTCAGAGTTTGCATGCAATGGCAAATGTGAATTGAAAGGCTATATTGTTCAATCTTTAATTATCTCTAGATAGAGTGTACCTTTGGTGGTCTACCAGTGGAAATTTCTAGATGGTTTATTGAGCAGATGGGATGCAGCCATGGAAGAGTTTAATTTTTTTTCCCCATCACTATTTTCTCTCAAGCGCTGATGAATCTATCCCTTAATAACAAGCCTGGCAGACCTCTCAGCTTTCTTGTCACTTTCACGAATAAAAATGTCCAGATTAGATTAGTTTAAAACTTCAATCTCACCCAATTTGATGCTCACTTTTTCCTTCCACTCCTTTCCTGGTAGGCTTAGGTATGAGAGACTTGTAGGTGAGAGAAGGCATCTGCCCCCTGGAGACCTCCTCTTCCCCCTTATTTCCTGGGATAGTGGGGTACAGGTAGAAATCGTATGGGATAAACATCTCTTATCTCAGGCTATTTCCCTCTTTTCTTGACTAACTTTAGCTGCCATTCATACCTCCTGTGTTATAAGAAAGCAAGTAATGCCTCTAATCGCAGGAACATGCAAAGTCTCAAGGGCACCCTGCTTAGATAGGCATGGGTCTGATCAGCTGTATTAATAGACAGCACACCTGAAAAAAGCTACCAATCCCTCTAATCTCTGTGAGAAATTCTCTTGAAAATGCTTCACTTAGGTGGAGGACCACTCATTAGGGAGAGGAAGGAAAAACCACAGTACTCCTCCCAAGCGAACAACTTCTGCTCTGGCCTTTCTCCTCTAATCCCTAGACATCTATTTATACAAGCTTTGTGCAAATAGGTGGAGATGAGAGAGAACCAGGATGATGGCTGAGGACTCCAGAGTCCTCAAACTAGCGTCTGCATTATTCATTTGGTGCTTGGTTTCCCTTTGTCCTCAGCTTTGGGTTCTAGTTGCCAACCCTGGGCAGCCAGAGAAGATCTACTCCACAACCTGTATGTAAAATGGCAGTATTGACCTGTATATTATCTAAAATCAGCAGGAACCTTGCCTGTTTGTTCACTAGAACACTATAGCTGGTACAAGCAGGGAAGACCTGCTCACAAGACATTTATATTTTAGAGCGAGACAAAAATATATACATGCATACATAATAACAAACAAACAATACAAAGTCAGTGTTGTGTACTATGCAGATCATTATTGTAAGAAGTAACTGGAGCTAATTTAGATTATATCATTAAGAAAGGCTATTTTAAGGAAGTGACATTTGGACTGTGATTTGAACGACAAGCAGAGAACCAGCATGTAAGATTAGAAGAGCCCATTCCAGTCAGCAGAGAATAGCTCATACAGAGGCCTTGGGAGGAAGGCCCTGTGGGTGGAGCAGAGTAGAAAAGGGCTGAAAGACCAGAGCTGAAAGTTTGGATCAGAGAGTAGGTAGGCCGTGGATCCCATAGGATTTTTTTCCCCTAAAGATATTTGGCTGGGTGCTGTGGCTCATGTCTGTAATCCCAACAATTTGGGAGGCCAAGGTGGAAGGATTGCTTGAGCCCAGGAGTTCAAGACCAGTATGGGTGGGCAGCATAGGAGAACTGGGCTCTACAAAAAATTTTAAAAATTAGCTGGGAATGGTGGTGCATGCCTGTAGTCCCAGCTACTCAGGAGCCTGAGGTGGGAGGATTGCTTTGTGCCCAGGGAGTTGAGGCTGTAGTGAGCCGTGATTGTACCACTTCACTCCATCCTGGGCAACAGAACAAGACCCTGTCTCCAAAAAAAAAAAAAAAAAAAAAAGTTAAAGTTTTTTTTATTATATTCTAGATGAAATGTGAAGCCATGGGAAGATTTTAAGCAGGGAATGGCCATGACACATGTTTTAAAAAGATTTCTTCAGCAGCTTTTGGATTGTATGAGGCAAAAGTGGAAGTGAATAGAAGTGAATAGTAAATCAAACAAAAAATGATGAGTGGCTTGGGCTAGGTCTCTAGCAGTGAGAACAGAGGGAAATGGGAAAACTGATAGAGTCAGAGGAATAATGCACCAAACTGGCTGATAAATTGAGTGCTGGGGGTGAGGAAAAGAGAAAATTCAAAAATAGCATGACCATTTTTGGCTTAAGGAACATGGTGGGTGGTGGTGCCGTTTCTGCACAACAGGAAAAATAAAGAAGTAGCCTAGAGGGTCAAGAGTTGTCTGTTAGTCATATAAGATTTGATATGACCTGTTAACTTCCAAAAGAGAAAGTCCAATAGGCACTGGGCATTTAGATGCACGGATCTGAAGTTCCTGAAGACATCAGGGTTAAAGAGGCATATTGAGGATTCATCCGAGTTTAGATGGCACTTGAAGCTTTAAGATGGTAAGACTTTCTGAAACAGCATGTTAATGGCATTCGAATCACCTGGGGATCTTGTTAAAATGCAGATTCTGATGCAGTGGGTCTGGGGTAGAGCCTGATAATGTGCATATCTGACAAGCTGGTAGGTAATGCAGGTGCTGTGTAGAGACCTCATTTTTCCTAACAAGGATCTAGAGAGACAGGACAGAGACCTGTGAAATCCAACATCTATAGTGGGAAAAGGAGGAACCTGTAAAGGAGATGTCTCTCCTTCCCTCCCTCAATTCTTTCCATCCTCCCTGCCTTCCTCCACCCGTAAACATTTATGAGACCAATTAGGTGTCAGCAGTGGTGTTCAACAGTTTTCTTATGTTCCTGTATTGACTGAAGATTGCCAAACCTTAATTCAGTCTTTTATTCTGCAAGTAAATTTCCCACTCCCTGCTGCTAAGACCTTTCTGCTGAACTGAAAGGCTCTGTTTACCTGTTTCCAGAAATATCCAGATTAGAAATTTAAGAATGTAAACACCTGTTTGATAGGATCCCCTTAGGAGCCTTAACTACCTTTATGCAGATGGTAGAGGGGGAGCAGGAAAATGTGGGGATAGGATGTTTTGGCTAAGCTTGACCTTGGGGATGAGAACAGTCGGGGAGTTAGAAATTCACCCATTGTCCAAATGCAACCAAGTGTGGAGTAGACAATTCTAATTTCAAGAAAGAGGAGGAAGATTGTGTCCTTCACAGCCAGGACTGTGTTCCATCAGAACCAATATTTATTGCGCTTGACAAAGGAAAAGAAAGAAAGGAAGAAAGAAACAGGAGGGAGAAAAAAAGCACTGCCACCAACATCTAGTTAAGGGAAAACAACTCAGACTGAACATGACTCATCTGAAAGCAAACAAGTCAATTAAACAAGTGATGTCTCTGAAGCAATCCGGTCCCCCTCTAGCCCAGCTACTAAATTGCATCTTGCTTACTCCTCAGCTCGAAGACAGAAAAGAAACAGAAGGTGGGGATGCAGCCTGGATTTATGTATGAAGAAAACGATGGTGATAAAAGACAGGGCTTTGAAAAGCAATCAGAGCTGCCAGCCTCCCAACTGAGAACTGTTTAAAATAGCACCATCAAATAAAAGCTGCATATATACCAGTCAAATCCTAAGATCCCCTTTGGATATGATTTCCAGAATGCCAGAATAATGTGCTATGTCTCCTTTTCTTTCTTCTCTCTCTTTCTGTCTTTCTCTCTCACTCCTTCTCTCTCCCAGCTCTTTCTGTCTCTCTCTCCCCCCGTCCACCTTCTGCCTCTCTCTGTCTCTCTCCCCCCCTTCCTTTCTTTCTCTCTCTCTCTCTCTCTCTGTAACACACACACACACACACACACACTCAAAGGATGCTGGGATCTAGGTTAGGTCTGAAGAGAGAAAGTGAGCTTGAGATCTATAATTTAGCAAAACACTTGGGTAGGGTAGAAAGAGGAGAGGATAGACCATTTCATTAGCCAACGATTCCATTCCTAGCACTTTTAATAACATGAATGTCTGGGTCATATGGAGGACTTCCCAGAGTGAAAAGCAATTTCACATTCATGATCCTAGGCAAGCCTTCTTACCACACCTGTGAAGGAAGTCAGAAATGTTGCCCCTCTTCTTCATATATGAAGAAACTAAGACACTCGAAGATATAATGGCATTTGTCTAAAATTACTTTGTAAATCAATGAAAGAGCCAGGACATAAACCAAGGGCTTTGGCACTCATGATCAGTGTTCTTTCCACTAAACCACACTAAACTTCTGGTTGGAGATGTGAAGAGTGACAGCTTTGTCCTCAAGATATGGCCAAGTTTGTGCATCCACTTCCCCTAAATGCAGTGAGTTCTCAGCTCTGAGGCATTGCCTCATTCTGGAACATGAAGACCAGCAAGTCAAGTTAGTAAGTCTATTGCTCAGTGTCAGTGCCAGAGCTGTTCTAGCTACCCCAGGGGACACAGAGAAACCTAAGGCGTACCTACCACCTGGCTCTGCATGCTTCAGTAATCAACACATGTTGACTCATGAAGAAAGGTATGAGGAGGAGTTATGATAGGTAGAGATGATAGCAAGGGGTGAGAGTGATAATTAACAATGATGGCAGTAGTATGGTTATTTATTCAGTTAGTATTTCCTATGTTTCTGGCTCAACGTTGCCACTGGAAGATGATGATGATAACAAAGATGATGATGGAGAGGACTATCCATCATGGCACTGAAAGTGTACAAGTTTGGAAGTTAAACTGACCTAAGTTCAAAGCCCTGCTTCATCACTTACTCTTTGAGGGATTTTAGGCAAGGTGATTCATCCTTCCTCGAGCTTCAGCTTGTTCCTCTTTCAGATGGTGGCAATATCAACTACCTTGCTTGCCCTTACTGGGTTTCTTACTTCATGTCAATCAAATTGAGCACCTACCATTCACCAGACATGGTACTAAATGTTCAGTTCATAAAGATGAATAAGATTCCACCCCTGCCCTTGAAAAGGTTGTGTTCTAGTGGGGAAGACAGGGCTACATTCCAATACCTACTGTAAGCTACCTATGAAAATGGCAGTATGTGTGAGTTCTAGGAGCACAGAGGAAGGTGTGATTAATTCCACCTGGGCCAAGGGAAGGCTGCAAGGAGGAGGCATTTAAGGGGAGCCATGTTGAAGTTTTATAGGTAGACAAGAGAATAGTGAATGCAAATGCACAGTAGTTTGAAACAGTGGCTGATTGTGGGAACAGCAAGCTGTTTTGTGACTATAAAACACATTTGTGGATGTGAAGGCATTCTGAAAGCCATAAAGCACCATCTCTGCACACTTAGGGACACATTACATTGATACGGATCCCTGACCAGCATGAGGCACTGAGACTAAGTCCGTTCTTGCCGCCTTTTCATCTTTTTATCTGCCTTTAGACTGATTTCCACTGCACTTTCTGGAAAATAACAGCCTTTCTTCCACAACCATGGAGCTGGACTCCTTCAAGCAAAGAAGGCAGAAAAAATAAGATTTTGTGGAAGAGGAGTCACTCAGAGACACACAGCAAAAGGGTGGGCTGAAGTTGCAACAGAAGCAGTTCAGAACATTTGCAGAAAGTCAAATACTGCGCTAATGAGAGAGTGTCAGGCTCAGGAGCAATCACATTAGAACCTATAGTAACTTATTTTTTGATATAAAAATAATATATATTCCTTATAGAGTATTTGGAATTTGCACAAAATAAAAAGAATACTCAAAATCTCATCACTTAAATAACTTTGAAATTGTTTATTTTTTATTTCTTACAAAATTAGAATTATTCTAAATAAATTGCTTTGTAATCAGCTTTATTAAAATTAAACTATTTTTGTGAGCGTTTTCCCCATGTCATGAAATTCCTTTGCAACATGATATTTTACATTTTGAAATGCTTTAGATATAAAAGATGATTTAGAAAGTAACATAATGAATGCCCATGAACCCAACCTCCCACCTAAGAAGTGAAACACTGCAGACACTGAAGCCCTGGTGTGTACCACGATTGCTGTGGCTGCTGAGCTGCAAGGAGGGAGACCATGGGCCCCTGCAGCAGACCACAGCCTTGCCCCTGGGTCTGGCCTCCTAGGGCCTACCTGCTTCTTTAATACTGGGAGGGCTCCATGCTAGCACATTCAAAGTGTGTGGTTAGAGAGAAAAGAACTTCATGATTCACCCCAACAAACGAGGTCTGGGGGTGTCCCCACTAGGTGCATTCTGCTCTTCTGCAGATTGGACCACTAAGGACCGGCTTTCATTGTGTCCATAAACCCCCACTATCATGCAATGACCCACATGTTTGTCTGTATCTCTTTTTACTGTTTTTCAGGGCAGGGACCTTGTCTTTCCTGTTCATCTTAGCACCTATCACAGTGCCTGGTAAGAGGTTATATTTTTTTAAAGCTGAATCTAGCCAATTCTGCAAACCACAGTTTTGTTAGGGGGAAGTTGATCAGGTATAAGTTAGTGTATAGGTTCGGGGACTTTGCAGCCTTGCCCTTTTTTCTGACCCTGAGCAGAGGTTAACAATGTGAGGTGTAAGATCGGATTCTGGCTTTCAGTCTCAGCTCTACCATTTACTTATTATTTAACTCCCTGAGCCTCAGTTGCTTCACTAATAAAACAGGAGAACCCTAGTCTTACCTGCCTTCTCTGCTATTATTAACATTTGAGGCCCACAGCCCACATTCTCATGGTCCCTTCATTGTAGCCTAACATCCCACCATCAAAGATCCCCCTTTTTTTTTTTTTTTTTTTTTTTTGAGACGGAGCCTCACTCTGTTGTCCAGGCTGGAGTGCAGCAGTGTGATTTCACTGCAATCTCCACCTCCTGGGTTCCAGCAATTCTCCTACCTCGGCCTCCCAAGTAGCTGGGATTACAGGTGCATGCCACCACACCCAGATAATTTTTGTATTTTTAGTAGAGATGGCGTTTCACCATGTTGGCCAGGCTGGTCGTGAACTCCTGACCTTTAGGATAATCATATTCCCATGGAATGTTAAATCAGTACATACATGCTCTCTTCTCCCAGAAACTGCTCCATCCCAGTCTCCATGAATATTAAGTGAGATTTGGTATTTAAATTCCCTGGCCCTGGACACAGCTGATTGATCCAGATGTGGCATCTTGGCCTAGCTGGGTTAAGACACTTTTCTCTGGGATTTAAAAAATTTAAACCCAGACTGCCAAGGTTGGTCCCTCCTAGTGGCACATGCTGAAAGATGAAAACCTCAAGTTTTCCATTATGTCTCCATCCTTTGAGGGAAAAATACTGACCTACATTGAGAGCAAATAATTAACACATGAAAAGAAGCTCAAGTGAGAGGTGGACTAGTCCAGCTTTTGAGTCCATGATCTAGGAGTTGTTAAGACACAGTTGCCTCCCTGTCCTTCCTGAATGTTGGTATTTAGACCATTTCTTGGATTCCCAGGGCCAATAAATTTTCTCTTTGCTTATGTTCAAGTTTGCTTTCTATCACTTGTAGCTGAATGTGGGGGTAGGGGTGGAGAGAGAGATTATTACCTCAATTTAATACTCCCAGAAGGGGCAATGCATTCCATCAGTGACATCTTAGAGTAAGTTAGAATCAGAGAACTTCAAATGAGGAAAGCACATTAGATCTAATCTAATCCAAACTCTTCATTTGCCAGTGAGAAAACTGCAGTCCAAGGAGGGGATAGAGTTTGCCCAAATCACTCTGTGGGAAAAGGCAGAACTACAATGTCTTAGCCAGCTTGGGCTTCCATAACAAAATACCATTGACTGGGTGATTAAACAACAGAAATTTATTTTCTTACATTTCCGGAGGCAGAGAATCCAAGATCAAGGTCCAGCAGGGTTCAATTTCTGGCTTGCAGAGAGCTGCCTTCTCACTGTCTGCTCACATGGCAGATAAAGACAGAAATCAAGCTCTCTGCTGTCTCTTCTTATAACAGCACTAACCCATCAGATCAGGGTCCATCCTCATAACTTCACCTGTCCCCTAATTACCTCTCAAAGGCCCCATCTCCAGATGTTATCACATTGTAGGGGTTAGGGCTTCAATATATGAATTTGGGTTTGGGTTGGGAGCACAGTTTAACCCATAACATACAGCTTTAGAATTTGTAGGACTGGAAATATCTTTAAATATCATCTAATCCAAATTTCTTATTTGTAAGTAAAGGGAAAATTAAAGACTAAGCAGATATAGAAATTTTCCAAGGACCTATAATGACCCACTGGCAGATTTTACCTGTCAGATTATCCTCTGATAGGCTAAGAAAATCTAGGGGCAGCAAGAAATATGTGAAGCTGCAGCGAGGCAACTGGTGTGGTCTGTTAATGGGGAGGGAATAACGGTAAATAAGTAAAGACAACTGCATCTGGCCAATTCTGCAAACTCAGTTTTGTTAGAAGGAAGTTGATCAGTGCGAGTTAGTGTACAGGTTAGGGGACTTTGCAAGCTTTGCCTTTTTTTCCCTTCCTTCTGCAGCCAATCACCAATTATTTGTCCGCTCCACAGCCCTGAGTATTTGGATATGCAAATCAACTGTGTCCATGCATAATTAAGACAGACACTGTGGAAAGTTTCATCTTCCAGGGGAAAGGCTGCCAGACAGCTGGAAAGAAAGGTCAGCATGGATCACTGCCTTACTTTCTTGTCTCAGACTGTAAGTTGAGTCTAATCACATCCAGCTTCCTCTTGCCCTTTTATTCTCTTCTGTTGCTGCACTGGGGAGCCTCAGGGGGAGCCCTTATCTCCCTTCTAGCCCCGGAAAGACCCTGGGGCTTTCCATAGAACAGTGCATGGATTGGGTATTAGGTTGGTGCAACATATTTTCTGCCTTAAATAAGAGCGGAGGTAGGTAGCTCTACGCCTAGAGGTAGAAATATGCCCTCTTTCTGGAGTCAGCAGGCTCACTTTATGACCCAGGCAGACTGAGTGATGTCTGAAGGACCAACATTTGGAGAATGTTTACAGAAGTAGAATCTGCAGGTCATTAAGCTACTGCCTCCCAACCCCAGACACACCTTTAATACACTGCTGTGTCATGCTGGAACTGGGATGTGAACCCTTGAGGAGGGAAGCCTGTCCCATCTGGAGCAGATACCTGTAAGGAGGTGTGAAGAGGTTGGCTTGGGAGTAGGAAGAGAGGTTGGAAACTGGAACCAACTGCTGCTGGAAGCAACTAGCACTTTAAGGTAATGAGCTATTCCTGGGGTAACAGAAACTAGAATAGCAAACAAATGGGGAGCAGAAAGTCCTTCTCCCTCTTCCAGTCTTCCAGTCTGGCAGAAGCTAGCAGGAAGCCAGCTAATAACAGAGAAATGTGTTTTCATAGTCCGAATCCCAGCATAGCAGAACACAGAAAGGATGGTTGGTTTGGAACCAGAGATGCTAATAGCTTAATACCTGGCACAGTCCACTCCTTTGGCTACTCAGCCTCCACACCTACCCTTTTTTGCATATTTGAACTTAGTCACAGTTACTCCCGAATATTCTGTAAGTTATATACCACATTGTAATGTTAATCACCAATATCCTTCCTTATATGAAATAATAAAGGGAAGAGAGGAGAGAGAAGATGTGTCTGTATTTATATACATGTGTGTATGTGTACTTGTAACAAACAAGGGGAAAAAATCCACATAACTTCCACTATCTTGGTTTCTGTGACTGGCCAAAGGCCATAGTGTTTACAATTTCTTTTTTCCCTATTATTTCTTGTTACCCTTTTCCTCAGCCAGGATCTCACCTAGCTGGGTTCTTCACATGATTGTGTGACCTAAATCTCCATTCTTGAGGAGTCCAAATCATTTGTCCTTTCTTACTCTGGTTGCTGTCATTTTCCATTAACTTTTACCATGAGATATGCACTTACCAAGAGATGTTTCAGAGAATTCCCTAACTTCTAGTCCCTGACTTCATAGTTCTCCCTGCCCTCGTTGCGTAGAAGTTACCCAATTTCTCCTTGGAAATTAGGTTCAATTACTCCAATCAGTACATTAACCTCCTTCTCTTCTTGGTTCAGTGGCATGAGAAGACTAAAACAGCCAAGTCTCTCAGCTTCCAAATCAATGAGATTAGTGTTTTGTCTTCTGGAGAAAGCATTTCTCTAATGAGAATAAAGACATCCAAGTCAACAGAACACAAAGTTTCCAAGATAAAAACCAAAGACTCCACAAGAGAGTCATAGTAGATAGGGAGTTATGTCACTCAGACCAACTCCTCAAGGAATGCTTACTGCCCAGTTGTGAGGGTGTGGTCTACAGAGAGTCTGGAGCTGTCAGTTTTAGGCTCCACTTCAGATGCAAAGAGCCACTTTAACAAAATTACACTCCTTATGGGGCTTCATGTGTCTGGTGACTGCGTGAGGTAGGACTATACAGATCTGGCCATTTCTGCCAAATGCAGAACAGCTGTGATGGGTAACACTTGTTTCAGTTCCTTCCCTGGTTGACCAATGCTTTATTGAGTCTGAACTTTTGTTTGAATTCTCCCTCTGACCAATCTTGCCTCAACCTCCTTCTTTTCACAGGTGTTGATTGTGCAACCCAAACTCCGTCTCAACATCAACTTATAGAAAAATCCAACTTTCTAGAACTAGGACTAGGATGAGGCAAGATAAGCACCAAGGGCACAAAATTTAAGGAGGCATTCACTCTCTATTGCTAACTCTATACTTGCACAAAACTGAGATCAAGTACCTCCTTAAATTTTGTGTCCTAGGCCCCTCACTTGCCTCACCCTAGTCCTGACCCTGCAACTTGTGACAGTTGGTATGAAGAGTGGTCCAAGAAAGGAGGAGACAAGTTGGGTTTTTGAAGCCAGATCACTCACTGTCTAGCGGGCAACGAGAACCCCATCACTAGTGGTAGGTACAAGAAACAGGCCCTGGCAAAAACTACCAGTGACTGCTGCCAACCAATGTTCAACCTTCCAGTGACAGAGATCAACACTGAGCTCCCAATACAGTACTATTCCTTAAGAAGACCAACCAGCCACTTGGTGGATGGCAAGTTGACTAGCTGGGCACCTTCCATCCTGAAAGAGCCAGGGTTTCATTCTCACAGTGACCGATATCTCATTCTGAGTATGGTTTTGCCTTTCCCTCTTGCAAGCTCTCAGCCAGCTCAACTACGGGATGGCTGAGTGTTTGATCCACCAGCATGGGATCCCATCCATCATCATGCCAGGTCACAGGACCCATTTTAGAATAAAGCAGATGCAGGACAGGGCCAGTGACTAAGGGATCCACTAGTTATATCACATACGAGAATCTTCTGATTTTATGGTGCATTGGAATGGCCTACTAACAACACAGCTAAAACACCAGCTCAGAGGCAATGCTCTGTGCATATGTATGCATCCTCAAGAACATACTATAGGCATCAAAGACTTTGATATGGCTCTGTGTCTCCTAAAGGAAGAATACATGGTCCCAGGAACCCAAGAGTGAAATAGGAGTGGATGTATTTCCCATTCCTCCCAGTACCTCATTGAAGGACTTGTGATTCCTATTTCCTCAGCTCTAGGCTTTGAGAGCTGGAGCTCCCGATTCTCCAAGGAGCAACTTTTTTGCCAGGAGATGCAGCAAAAATACAAAAGTATAAACAGTCACTGTTTCTTGGGTCCTTTGCACTTCTTGTGTCCAGGGACCAGCAGGCAAGACGTGGAGTCACTGTATTAGTAAGGGTAATTCACTTGAAAAAGGCAGCACTGCACATTTATAGTTGCATCAAGGTTATATTAACCCTTCTGGGGAACCAAAACTAAGATAATACCATTGTTTTAATAGTACACATTAATTGGTCATAAGACACAGATTTTCAAACAATATTTTAACATTTCTGAAATCTTGATGAACTTTACATCTGATGTTATTTCATATTTTAATAAACAACACTTTTTTCTTTCTTAAAGGCATGAAAATAATTATGCATCTTATAATCCGTGAGTTAGTGAATTACATATGGTACTATCTGTTGGAAAAACTTCCAATATTATTCAGACAGTTAATATGAAGGGAATAAATACTTATTTATCCTGCCACATACCTAGCATGGACAAGGAGCTGTCACATTTCCTACAAAAGCCCAGGCCTGTTCAAGAGTGGGTCAACTTCACATACTGGTAAAAACTGAAAATGTATTTCTTTTGCACAATAGCACTACTTACTTGGATGTCTCATATCAATGCTCACAAGAAAATATCCACCATAGAAAATGCCCCAGCCAACTACTTAGACAGAACACTTCATCCCAGGACAGCAGCCAGCTTCTGTCCTCAGCCAACCCTGTGCTTGCCAATAAACTCATAAATCATGTATCTATATGACAGAGGAGTGCAGGCCATGCCCCACAGCATGAGTCCCTCTCACCAGGACTGACCTACCTGCTGCTGAATGTCCAATCTATAAACAGCAGAGACCAAATCTGAGTGTTCAGTTTGGTACCATCTCTTGGGTAGACTAGCCAGCTACTTGGTGGCAAGTTAATTATCATCAGTGCCCTTCTAACCTAGAGGGGGAAGTTATTCCAGGCATGGGTTTGCCTTCCTTTCCCACAGCATCTCAGACAGTACTACTATCAAAGGGACCCATGGGTCCATGACATCCTCCATAATGTGATCTTGGAACTAGGCGTCCATTTTATGTCGGTGGAAGTAAGATAATGGTCATGTTACATGACCATGGGCTCATTAATGCTACTATATACTCACTAATACTACCATCAAAAGCTGCTGGCCTGATATAATGTTGAAATGGCTCTTTAAGGCACAACTAAAGCACCAGGTTGGGGATGACTCCTTTCAGTGTTGGGGTGCTGTCCTTCTGGATGCAGTATAGACTTTGAACCAATGCCATTACATGGCACTGTTTGCCTAATAGGTACAATACATAGATTCAAGAACAAAAGGATAGAAGGAATGGTCTGTGTCACTATAACTACCCCAGTGACACACTTGGGGAACTTTTACAAAATGTTTGCTTTCTGGATATTTTTAACTCCTCATTCTAGTAGGTAAGCAGAATTTAAAATGTACTTACTGGGCTGGCAGGGGTAATTGATTATGATTATCATAAGCCAATGAGGTTGGTGCTACATAGCTACATATTAGGGGCTGGAGGAGGATATCTGGAATTCATAGGATTTACTGGGACATCTCTTAGTACTTTCATGCCCAGTAATAACAATGAATTAGAAATTGCAGCGACCCCAGCCTGAGGAAAGCGTGGTAACCGAGAGTTCTGACATCTCAGGGTTAAAGTTTTGGTTACCCCACTGGGCAAGCAACTTAGCCTAGCAGAAGAGCTGGGCAAGGATAAATGAAATGTAGAATAAGTAGAGGGGAGGGTGATGTGATTATCAGTATGGCCTTAGTGGCAATCACAGTAGCAGAGACTCTTGTTTTCCCATTAGCCCTTCTGTTAGAGTATTTTTAATTGTTTGTTTTTGCTCATTCATTTGTATTTAGAATTTTGACAGGCCACATTCTTGAAGAATCAGTGAGAAGATGCAGTAAACCTGGGCAGCAATGGGCCTGGGTAAGGGGTGGACTGTAGCATACGGTGTCAGCATCCTCAGCCTGACCATCTCCACTTATACAAGCCCTCTATCCAACTGCCAGTATCTGCAACTCTGTCTCATGGTTCTCTGGGGCCACTGGAAACTTCTCTGTCCACACATGGGACAAGCAGAAATATCAGGGAATTAGCAGTAGCCTGGACAACATGGGAAACCCCATCTCCACAAAAGACACAAAAATTATCCGGGCATGGTGGCACATGCCTGTGGTCCCAGTTACTTGGGGGGCTGAAGGATAGCTTAAGCCCAGGAGGTCAAGGCTGCAGTGAGCTGTGATCAAGCCACTGCACTCCAGCCTAGATGGAACCTTGTCTCAAAAAAAAAGTAGCCTTCAACCAAGTACTAACAGGAATTGGTGCATAAATAACCTAGCTCCCTTGCACCTTGGGTAAAATAACTCTGAGGTACATGTTCAGTACTGGCTCCTAGAATTTTCTCAGTGAAAGTATGCTCAATTTTCCCACAAAAGTAATTTATTTTGTAGAGGCCCTTTATTGGCTTTTTTCCCCCTCCATGTTTCATATTCCCTCTCCTTTACCAGTGTGTCTTGTATTATCTCAAAAATAAAATATTAGCTTCTGAATATTTGTCTCGCCGTTTCCTTCTGGGGAAAAAAAACTAAGATAATACCATTGCTTTAATGGTACATGTTAATTGGTTATAAGACACATTTTTACACATATTTTAACATTTCTGAGATCTTGATGAACTTTACAGCTGATGCTATTTTATAGTTTAACAGACTGTACTTTTTTCTTTCTTAAAGGCACAAAAATAATGGTGCGTCTTATAATCCATGACATCTTAGAGTTAGTGAATTACATATGGTACTATCTGTTGGAAAAACTTCCAATGTTATTCAGACAATTTATGTGAAGATAACAAATGCTCATTTATCTAGCCACATGCCTAGCATGGGCAAGGAGCTGTCACATTTCATTTAGTCTTCAAAATGACCTTGCTGGAGTATTAGTATTTCTATTTTACAGACTAAGAAATTGAGGTTAAATGAATTAAGTTATTTACCTAAAGATTTGATCTCAAAGTTCTTTCACTGTACTACAATGCCTTAAACTGTTTATCAAAACAATTTGTATTTGAAACACATGGTGACTGGAATTAGAGAATCTTCTTGGTTTATTTTTCCCTTCAGTTAATCAGAATTAAGAATATTGTAATAAATAGGCAATAGAGTTAAAATATGATCATGTCAAGTACCATAAAAAATATGGGAAAACAGGTATTATCATATATTGCTAGCCAAAGTATAAATTGTTGTAGCACCTTTGTAAAGCACTTGGCAGCAACTAGTAAAATTTTTTTTAAATGTGTATATTCTAGGACCCAGTGATGCCATATTTAGAGATATGCCTCAGGCAAATATTGTCATATGTATTCAATGAGGATTGCCAGTGTGGCATTGTCTATAAAAGCAAAAACTAGGAGCACTCAAACAGCCATCAATAGGGGAACGGATTTTTAAAATTTGGTGTATTCTTGTAAAAGAATAGTGTACTGAATGTGAATAGAACAAATTCATACAGATGAATCTTGATAGGTCCTCAACACATAATGAGTGGAAAAAAGAAAGATATAGCATGATGAGGAAAGCAAAGCAGTATTTAAATAAAACTTTACAATATAAAAAGATACTGTATGTTACTTATGAGTGTGTGCGTGTGTGTGTGTGTGTGTGTGTGTGTGTGTGTGTGTGTGTGTGTATGCTAAGGCATTTTTTAAAATGGAATTCCAGAATCTAAACCAATATTGTGATCATGGCTGCCTCTGAAGAGGAGTGAAAGAGAATTGGGCTGGGTGGAAAAGTTGAAGGAGTTATTCACGTTATCTGTTGTGGTTTTGCTTTTATTTTCTAAGAGAATCTATTCAGATATTATTTGTATAAACACACTGACATGGTTTGGCTCTGTGTCCTCACCCAAATCTCATGTCAAATTGTAATCCAAATTGTAATCCCCACGTGTCAAGGGAAGGACCTAGCGTGAGATGATTGAATCATGGGGCAGTTTCCCCCATGCTGTGCTTGTGATAGTGAGTGAGTTCTCATGAGATTTGATGGTTTTTATCAGTGGCAGTTTCCCCTTCACTCTCATCTGCCATCATGTAAGACATGCCTTGCTTTGCCTTAACTTCCATCATGATTCTAAGTTTCCTGAGGCCTCCCCTGCCATGCAGAACTGTGACTCAATTAAACCTCTTTCCTTCATAAATTACCCAATCTCAGGTATTTCTTTATAGCAGTGTGAAAACAGATTAATACAGAGAATGGATACCAAGGTAGTGGGTCATTGCTATAACATACCTGAGAAAGTGGAAGCTACTTTAGAACTGGGTAACTAGCAGAGGATGGAACAGTTTGGAAGGCTCAGAAGAAGAGAGGAAGATGAGGGAAAGTTTGGAACTTCCTAGAGACTTTTTGAATATTTTTCACCAAAATGCTGATAGTGATATGGACAATGAAGTCTGGGCTGAGGTGGTCTCAGATGGAGATGAGGAACTTATTGGGAATTGGAACAAAGGTGACTCTTGCTATGCTTTAGAAAAGAGACTGGCAGCAGTTTGCCCCTGCCCTAGAGATCTGTGGAACTTTGAACTTGAGAGAGATGATTAGGGTATCTGGCAGACTGAATTTCTAAGCAGCAAAGCATTCAAGATGTGGCCTGGGTGCTCTTAACAGCGTACAGCAATATGCATTCACAAAGAGATGGTTTGAAATTGGAACTTACGTTTAAAGAAGAAGCAGAGCAGAAAAGTTTGGCAAATATGCAGCCTGACCATATGGTAGAAAATAAAAACCCATTTTCTGGGGAGAAATTCAAGCCTGCTACAGAAATTTGCACAAGTAATGAGGAACTGAATGTTAAGCACCAAGATAATGGGGAAAATGTCTCCAGGGCATTTCAGAGACTTTCATGGAATCCCCTCCTATCACAGGCCCAGAGGCATAGGAGGGAAAAATGGTTTTGTGGGCTGGGCCCAGGACCCCCCTGCTCTGTGAAGCCTCAGGACTTGATGACCTGCATCGCAGCTGCTCCACCTCCCACTGTTGCTAAAAGGGGCCAAGGTACAGCTCCAGCCATTGCTTCAAAGGGTGCAAGCTCCAAGCACTGCCAGCTTCCACATGTTGTTGGGCCTGCAGGTGGGCAAAAGACAAGAGTTGAGCTTTTGGAACCTCCACCTAGATTTCAGAGGATGTATGAAAATGCCAAAATGTCCAGGCAGAAGTCTGCTGCAGGGGCAGAGCCCTCATAGAGAACTTCTACTAGGGCAAAGCAGAGCAGAAATGTGGGGTTGGAGCCCCCACAGAGAGTCCCCACTGGGGCACTGCCTAGTGGAGCTGTAAGAAGAAGGCCACTGTTCTCTGCACCCCAAAATGGTAGATCCACTGACAGCTTGCGCCAGGCACTTGGAAAAACCACAGGCACCCAACGCCAGGCAATGAAAGCAGCTGCAGGCACTGTACCCTGCAGAGCCACAGAGTCAGAGATGCCCAAGGCCTAGGGAGCCCACCCTTTGCATCAGCATTTCCTGGATGTGACACATGGAATCAAAAGAAGATTTTGGGGCTTTAAGATTTAATGACTGCCCAGCCAGGTTTTGGATTTGCATAGGGCCTGTGGCCCCTTTGTTTTGGCCAATTTCTCCCATTTAGAATGGGAGCACTTATCCAACGTCTGTACCCCCATTGTATCTTGGGGGTATCTAACTTGCTTTTGATTTTACAGGCTCAGAGGTGGAAGGGACTTGCCTTGTCTCAGATGAGGCTTTGGACTTGGACTTCTGAGTTACTGCTGGAATGAGTTAAAAATTTGGGAGACTGTTAGGAAGGCATGATTGGTTGTGAAATATGAAAAGGACATGAGATTTGGAAGAAGCCAGGAGAAGAATAATATGGTTTGTCTCTATCTCTCCACCCAAAGCTCATCTTGAATTATAATCCAAATTGTAATCCCCACATGCCGAGGGAGGAACCTGGTGTGGGGTGATTGCATCATGAGGGTGGTTTCCCCCATGCTGCTCTTGTGAGTTTTCATGAGATCTGATGCTTTAAAAGTGTTTGGCAGTTTCCCTTGTCTTCTCTTTCTTGTCTGCCACCATGTAAGACATGCCTTGCTTTCCATTCACCTTCCATCATGATTGCAAGTTTCCTGAGAACTCCCCACCCCTGTAGAACTGTGCGTCAATTAAACCTCTTTTCTTTATAAATTATCCAGTCTTGGGTAGCATCTCTATAGCAATGTGAAAATGGACTAATATACACACACATGCACACAAGAAAAAAACCTGAAAGCAAATATTTTAAAATGTTAATAATTCTTAATTCTCTGTGGAAGGAACAGGAGTATTTCTTACTACTTTTTGTAGTTCTCCGTATTTCTAAGTTTCTTAAAATAATAAAAATTAATAAAGTTTACTAATACTTTTCTAACCAAAGCATCCAGCTTACTATTTTCTTTTTTTTTTTTTTAATTATACTTTAAGTTTTAGGGTACATGTGCACATTGTGCAGGTCAGTTACATATGTATACATGTGCCATGCTGGTGCGCTGCACCCACTAACTCGTCATCTAGCATTAGGTATATCTCCCAATGCTATCCCTCCCCACTCCCCCCTCCCCACCACAGTCCCCAGAGTGTGATATTCCCCTTCCTGTGTCCATGTGATCTCATTGTTCAATTCCCACCTATGAGTGAGAATATGCGGTGTTTGGTTTTTTGTTCTTGCAATAGTTTACTGAGAATGATGGTTTCCAACTTCATCCATGTCCCTACAAAGGACATGAACTCATCATTTCTTACGGCTGCATAGTATTCCATGGTGTATATGTGCCACATTTTCTTAATCCAGTCTATCATTGTTGGACATTTGGGTTGGTTCCAAGTCTTTGCTATTGTGAATAATGCCGCAATAAACATACGTCTTTATAGCCACGTGTCTTTATAGCAGCATGATTTATAGTCATTTGGGTATATACCCAGTAATGGGATGGCTGGGTCAAATGGTATTTCTAGTTCTAGATCCCTAAGGAATTGCCACACTGACTTCCACGATGGTTCAACTAGTTTACAGTCCCACCAACAGTGTAAAAGTGTTCCTATTTCTCCACATCCTCTCCAGCACCTGTTGTTTCCTGACTTTTTAATGATTGCCATTCTAACTGGTGTGAGATGATATCTCATAGTGGTTTTGATTTGCATTTCTCTGATGGCCAGTGATGGTGAGCATTTTTTCATGTGTTTCTTGGCTGCATAAATGTCTTCTTTTGAGAAGTGTCTGTTCATGTCCTTCGCCCACTTTTTGATGGGGTTCTTTGTTTTTTTCTTGTAAATTTGTTTGAGTTCATTGTAGATTCTGGATATACGCCCTTTGTCAGATGAGTAGGTTGCAAAAATTTTCTCCCGTGTTGTAGGTTGCCTGTTCACTCTGATGGTAGTTTCTTTTGCTGTGCAGAAGCTCTTTAGTTTAATTAGATCCCATTTGTCAATTTTGGCTTTTGTTGCCATTGTTTTTGGTGTTTTGGACATGAAGTCCTTGCCCATGCCTATGTCCTGAATGGTAATGCCTAGGTTTTCTTCTAGGGTTTTTATGGTTTTAGGTCTAACGTTTAAATCTTTAATCCATCTTGAATTGATTTTTGTATAAGGTGTAAGGAAGGGATCCAGTTTCAGCTTTCTACATATGGCTAGCCAGTTTTCCCAGCACCATTTATTAAATAGGGAATCCTTTCCCCATTGCTTGTTTTTCTCAGGTTTGTCAAAGATCACATAGTTGTAGGTAAGCAGCGTTATTTCTGAGGGCTCTGTTCTGTTCCATTGATCTATATCTCTGTTTTGGTACCAGTACCATGCTGTTTTGGTTACTGTAGCCTTGTAGTATAGTTTGAAGTCAGGTAGTGTGATGCCTCCAGCTTTGTTCTTTTGGCTTAGGATTGACTTGGTGATGCGGGCTCTTTTTTGGTTCCATATGAACTTTAAAGTAGTTTTTTCCAATTCTGTGAAGAAAGTCATTGGTAGCTTTATGGGGATGGCATTGAATCTGTAAATTACCTTGGGCAGTATGGCCATTTTCACGATCTTGATTCTTCCTACCCATGAGCATGGAATGTTCTTCCATTTGTTTGTATCCTCTTTTATTTCCTTGAGCAGTGGTTTGTAGTTCTCCTTGAAGAGGTCCTTCACATCCCTTGTAAGTTGGATTCCTAGCTATTTTATTCTCTTTGAAGCAATTGTGAATGGGAGTTCACTCATGATTTGGCTCTCTGTTTGTCTGTTGTTGGTGTATAGGAATGCTTGTGATTTTTGTACATTGATTTTGTATCCTGAGACTTTGCTGAAGTTGCTTATCAGCTTAAGGAGATTTTGGGCTGAGACGATGGGGTTTTCTAGATAAACAATCATGTCGTCTGCAAACAGGGACAATTTGACTTGCTCTTTTCCTAATTGAATACCCTTTATTTCCTTCTCCTGCCTAATTGCCCTGGCCAGAACTTCCAACACTATGTTGAATAGGAGCGGTGAGAGAGGGCATCCCTGTCTTGTGCCAGTTTTTAAAGGGAATGCTTCCAGTTTTTGCCCATTCAGTATGATATTGGCTGTGGGTTTGTCATAGATAGCTCTTATTATTTTGAAATACATCCCATCAATACCTAATTTATTGAGAGTTTTTAGCATGAAGGGTTGTTGAATTTTGTCAAAGGCTTTTTCTGCATCTATTGAGATAATCATGTGGTTTTTGTCTTTGGTTCTGTTTATATGCTGGATTACATTTATTGATTTGCGTATATTGAACCAGCCTTGCATCCCAGGGATGAAGCCCACTTGATCATGGTGGATAAGCTTTTTGATGTGCTGCTGGATTCAGTTTGCCAGTATTTTATTGAAGATTTTTGCATCAATGTTCATCAAGGATATTGGTCTAAAATTCTCTTTTTTTGGTTGTGTCTCTGCCCGGCTTTGGTATCAGAATGATGCTGGCCTCATAAAATGAGTTAGGGAGGATTCCCTCTTTTTCTATTGATTGGAATAGTTTCAGAAGGAATGGTACCAGTTCCTCCTTGTACCTCTGGTAGAATTCAGCTGTGAATCCATCTGGTCCTGGACTCTTTTTGGTTGGTAAACTATTGATTATTGCCACAATTTCAGCTCCTGTTATTGGTCTATTCAGAGATTCAACTTCTTCCTGGTTTAGTCTTGGGAGACTGTATGTGTCCAGGAATGTATCCATTTCTTCTAGATTTTCTAGTTTATTTGCGTAGAGGTGTTTGCAGTATTCTCTGATGGTAGTTTGTATTTCTGTGGGATCGGTGGTGATATCCCCTTTATCATTTTTTATTGTGTCTATTTGATTCTTCTCTCTTTTTTTCTTTGTCTTGCTAGCAGTCTATCAATTTTGTTGATCCTTTCAAAAAACCAGCTCCTGGGTTCATTGATTTTTTGAAGGGGTTTTTTTGTCTCTATTTCCTTCAGTTCTGCTCTGATTTTAGTTATTTCTTGCCTTCTGCTAGCTTTTGAATGTGTTTGCTCTTGCTTTTCTAGTTCTTTTAATTGTGATGTTAGGGTGTCAATTTTGGATCTTTCCTGCTTTCTCTTGTGGGCATTTAGTGCTATAAATTTCCCTCTACACACTGCTTTGAATGTGTCCCAGAGATTCTGGTATGTTGTGTCTTTGTTCTCATTGGTTTCAAAGAACATCTTTATTTCTGCCTTCATTTCCTTATGTACCCAGTAGTCATTCAGGAGCAGGTTGTTCAGTTTCCATGTAGTTGAGTGGCTCTGAGTGAGATTCTTAATCCTGAGTTCTAGTTTGATTGCACTGTGGTCTGAGAGATAGTTTGTTATAATTTCTGTTCGTTTACATTTGCTGAGGAGAGCTTTACTTCCAACTATGTGGTCAATTTTTGAATAGGTGTGGTGTGGTGCTGAAAAAAATGTATATTCTGTTGATTTGGGGTGGAGAGTTCTGTAGATGTCTATTAGGTCCCCTTGGTGCAGAGCTGAGTTCAATTCCTGGGTATCCTTGTTGACTTTCTGTCTCGTTGATCTGTCTAATGTTGACAGTGGGGTGTTAAAGTCTCCCATTATTAATGTGTGGGAGTCTAAGTCTCTTTGTAGGTCACTCAGGACTTGCTTTATGAATCTGGGTGCTCCTGTATTGGGTGCATATATATTTAGGATAGTTAGCTCTTCTTGTTGAATTGATCCCTTTACCATTATGTAATGGCCTTCTTTGTCTCTTTTGATCTTTGTTGGTTTAAAGTCTGTTTTATCAGAGACTAGGATTGCAACCCCTGCCTTTTTTTGTTTTCCATTTGCTTGGTAGATCTTCCTCCATCCTTTTATTTTGAGCCTATGTGTGTCTCTGCACGTGAGATGGGTTTCCTGAATACAGCACACTGATGGGTCTTGACTCTTTATCCAACTTGCCAGTCTGTGCCTTTTAATTGGAGAATTTAGTCCATTTACAATTAAAATTAATCTTGTTATATGTGAATTTGATCCTGTCATTATGATGTTAGCTGGTGATTTTGCTCGTTAGTTGATGCAGTTTCTTCCTAGTCTCGATGGTCTTTACATTTTGGCATGATTTTGCAGCGGCTGGTACCGGTTGTTCCTTTCCATGTTTAGCGCTTCCTTCAGGAGCTCTTTTAGGGCAGGCCTGGTGGTGACAAAATCGGTCAGCATTTGCTTGTCTGTAAAGTATTTTATTTCTCCTTCACTTATGAAGCTTAGTTTGGCTGGATATGAAATTCTGGGTTGAAAATTCTTTTCTTTAAGAATGTTGAATATTGGCCCCCACTCTCTTCTGGCTTGTAGGGTTTCTGCCAAGAGATCTGCTGTTAGTCTGATGGGCTTCCCTTTGAGGGTAACCCGACCTTTCTCTCTAGCTGCCCTTAACATTTTTTCCTTCATTTCAACTTTGGTGAATCTGACAATTATGTGTCTTGGAGTTGCTCTTCTCGAAGAGTATCTTTGTGGTGTTCTCTGTATTTCCTGAATCTGAACGTTGGCCTGCCTTGCTAGATTGGGGAAGTTCTCCTGGATAATATCCTGCAGAGTGTTTTCCAACTTGGTTCCATTCTCCGCATCACTTTCAGGTACACCAATCAGACGTAGATTTGGTCTTTTCACATAGTCCCATATTTCTTGGAGGCTTTGCTCACTTCTTCTTATTCGTTTTTCTCTAAACTTCCCTTCTCGCTTCATTTCATTCATTTCATCTTCCATTGCTGATACCCTTTCTTCCAGTTGATCGCATCGGCTCCTGAGGCTTCTGCATTCTTCACATAGTTCTCAAGCCTTGGTTTTCAGCTCCATCAGCTCCTTTAAGCACTTCTCTGTATTGGTTATTCTAGTTATACATTCTTCTAAATTTTTTTCAAAGTTTTCAACTTCTTTGCCTTTGGTTTGAATGTTCTCCCATAGCTCAGAGTAATTTGATCGTCTGAAGCCTTCTTCTCTCAGCTTGTCAAAATCATTCTCCATCCAGCTTTGTTCCGTTGCTGGTGAGGAACTGCGTTCCTTTGGAGGAGGAGAGGTGCTCTGCGTTTTAGAGTTTCCCGTTTTTCTGTTCTGTTTTTTCCCCATCTTTGTGGTTTTATCTACTTTTGGTCTTTGATGATGGTGATGTACAGATGGGTTTTCGGTGTGGATGTCCTTTCTGTTTGTTAGTTTTCCTTCTAACAGACAGGACCCTCAGCTGCAGGTCTGTTGGAATACCCTGCCGTGTGAGGTGTCAGTGTGCCCCTGCTGGGGGGTGCCTCCCAGTTAGGCTGCTCGGGGGTCAGGGGTCAGGGACCCACTTGAGGAGGCAGTCTGCCGGTTCTCAGATCTCCAGCTGCGTGCTGGGAGAACCACTGCTCTCTTCAAAGCTGTCAGACAGGGACACTTAAGTCTGCAGAGGTTACTGCTGTCTTTTTGTTTGTCTGTGCCCTGCCCCCAGAGGTGGAGCCTACAGAGGCAGGCAGGCCTCCTTGAGCTGTGGTGGGCTCCACCCAGTTCGAGCTTCCCGGCTGCTTTGTTTACCTAAGCAAGCCTGGGCAATGGCGGGCGCCCCTCCCCCAGCCTCGCTGCCGCCTTGCAGTTTGATCTCAGACTGCTGTGCTAGCAATCAGCGAGATTCCGTGGGCGTAGGACCCTCCGAGCCAGGTGTGGGATATAGTCTCGTGGTGCGCCGTTTTTTAAGCCCGTCGGAAAAGCGCAATATTCGGGTGGGAGTGACCCGATTTTCCAGGTGCGTCCGTCACCCCTTTCTTTGACTCGGAAAGGGAACTCCCTGACCCCTTGCGCTTCCCAGGTGAGGCAATGCCTCGCCCTGCTTCGGCTCGCGCATGGTGCGCGCACCCACTGGCCTGCGCCCACTGTCTGGCACTCCCTAGTGAGATGAACCCGGTACCTCAGATGGAAATGCAGAAATCACCCGTCTTCTGCGTCGCTCACGCTGGGAGCTGTAGACCGGAGCTGTTCCTATTCGGCCATCTTGGCTCCTCCCCCCCAGCTTACTATTTTCTTCCATGGCTATGACTATCTTGGAAGTAGCAGTCAGTGATTATATACACATGGAATGTAATAAACACTTAGGTTGTTTAAATCAATAATTTTTAAATCATTTAGTAAATGTAGCAATACCACATACTACTACTAATGGCTCTATGAAATACAAAATTTATTTGGCACAAGCACTCATTTGCTATACCCTCTAGCCATGGATTACAACCCATTGAAATGTATTAATATCTACTGGAAATATTCGCACTGGAAACTCTAATTAGCTAACCGTTTGTTTTAAGATAACAGGTTGAACAAAAATTCAAAGTTAACATTATTTCTAATAACTACCTATTATGACAAATTAGATGAAAAGTAGACAAATTCTTTGTTGTTCACTCACTTAACAAATATATTTGAATACCTATTGGTGCAACCATCCCAGGCTCTAGGGATACAGTGGTGAAAACACAGTTCTTCCCCAATGAGCTGATAGTCTATAGAGTTGGAACAATAGGAGATTAACAAAGACACAAATAAACATATATAAAGTCAAGCTGGGATGAGTACTGTGGAGTAGGAAAACACGGTATATGGAAGTTAAGGTATGCAGGTGAGGCAGAGGTCACAAATTGTCCCCCAGTATTTTTCTCCCCATCTTCTTTTTTATATAGAACCTCTCAGTTTCATTAACTAAGCTCAAGGCCACCCAGCTAGAGATGATATTTCTCAGCCTCTCTTGCAGCTAGGTGTAGATATGTACCTATGTTTGGTCTAATGAAATATAAGCAATAGTAAATTTCATGTCAGCCCCTAGAAGCAAAACTACTTGCCTTGTACTTTCTCTTCCTCAGCTAGCTAAGAAGTGGCAACAACTATAGCATCCTTGGATGCCACCTGGGAAGCATGTCAGAGATACCTCATGGGCTCCTGATATGGTTTGGCTCTGTGTCCTCACCCAAACCTCATCTGGAATTGTAATCCCCACATGTTGAAGGAGGGACATGGTGGGAGGTAATTGGATCATGGGCAATTTCCCCCATGCTGTTCTCGTAATAGTGAGCTCTCATAAGATCAGATGGTTTTATCAGTGGCAGTTTCCCCAGTGCTCTCTCTCTCTCACCTGCCTCCACGTAAGACGTGCCTTGCTTTCCCATTCACCTTCCATCACGATTGTAAGTTTCCTAAGGCCTCCCCAGCCATGCGGAACTGTGAGTCAATTAAACCTGTTTTCTTCATGAATTACCCAGTCTCAGGCAGTTCTTCATAGCAGTGTGAAAATGGACTAATACAGCCCTGGATTGTTGCATGAGAAAGAAATTAACATCTATTATGCTGGAGGCACATATTTGCATCTCTTTGATGTAGTAGGTTATTCTGTCCCCTGAGACAGCAGAGATGACTATTTCTTAGGTTGTCATCAGCTTTTCTTAGAAGATAGGATTGGAGCAGATAGCTAATTAGCATGAAGGAGAGTGTCATTCAAAGGTCTAAGAGGAAAACATCTCAGGCAGAAGGGAAGGAAGTACAAGGTTCTGAAGCCAGAATAAGCTCAGTAGATTTGAGAAACATTAAAAAGGACACCATGATGGGCATGGAGTAAATTAAAGGAGCAACTTACTAGAAAATAAGCTGGGACGCATATATTCATTGCAGTACTAGTCACAATAGCAAAGACATGAAATCAACCCAAATGCCCATCAATGATAGATTGGATAAAGAAAATGTGGTACATATACACCATGGAATACTATGCACCCATAAAAACGAACGAGATCATGTCCTTTGCAGGGACATAGATGGAGCTGGAAGCCATTACCGGCATCAGCAAACTAATGCAGGAACAGAAAACCAAACACCACATGTTTTCACTTATAATTGGGAACTAAATGATCAGAGCACATGCACACATGGAGGGGAAAAACACACGCTGGAGCCTGTCTCAGGGGGAAAAGTGGGGAGAGAGAGCTTCAAGAAGAATAGCTAATGAATGTTGGGCTTAATACCCAGGTGATGGAATGATCTGTGCAGCAAACCACCATGGCACACATTTACCTAAGTAAGAAATCTGCGCATGCTACACATGTATCCCCGAACTTAAAATAAAAGTTGAAAAAAAAAAGATGGGAGAAGTAGGCCAGGGTCAGCCAAGTAGGGCTTTTAAGACTATGATGAGGGTTCAGCTTTTACTCTATTATGAAAAGGTCTTACAGAGTTTTGAACAGGGGAATAACAATAATTAATACACGTTAAAGGCCTGTTTGGCTGCTATACAGAGAATAAATGATAGAGTAGCAAGAATGAAAGTCAAGAACCAGTTGGGACCTATTGTAAACAGTTCAGGGGAAAGACTACTGGAGCCTCAAGTACAATGTGAGATATAGAAATGGTGAAATGTACTCAGATTCAGGATACAGTTTGAAGACCAAACCACAGGAATTAAGAATGCTTCCAAGGTTTTTAAATAAACTGGGGGATAACTGAAATAAGGAATAGTAGATTGGGAGGTGGAGTATTGCAGCTCATAGTTCTTTTCTGGGTATGTTAACTGGGTGATAACCATTAGACTATGAATGGAGATGCTAAGTGGGCAGTTGGACAATACAAGTCTGAAGCTCTGTAGAGAGGACAAGCCTGGGAATAAATTTAGGAGTCACCAGCATATCAATAGTAAAAAATAATGAATGACACCATCAAAGAAGTGAGACTGAATGACACCATCAAAGAAGTGAGACTGAATGACACCATCAAAGAAGTGAGACTGAATGACACCATGAAAGAAGAAACAGTAGATAGATACTAAAGAAAGGTCTAATAACTATTTGCATTTGAACCTTTGACTTTAGCTCTGCTTTGAGAAACCCAACTAAGAGAGTGTGGATGGAGGAAGAGAAGGCAATGTGGCAGGCAAGTTAAATGGGGGAGGCAATACATCTTTCAAATATCTAAAGATGGCACAAATCTATGTCATTCTCCCAGGTCTGGGTACTGCTTTTTATTAATATCTTGGTGTGGAAGAGAAGTTCCAGGAGCTTCTGCTTGGTCTTTCCTACTGTAATAATTCTCACTCCATAGATTGGAGAGCCAAGGCGGGGATTCTGCCCATTCCTGAGTATACCTATTCAATTATACAGCTGGGGAAATAGTCACAGCATAAGCTACAGTTGTTCCAAACTCCACCTGACTGTCAGAAGACCCCACTGTGACATGGACTAATCTGCAAAAATGAAACTACTCAAAGCCAACCCAGATGTCTCCAAGAGCTATCACATATGGCTGAATGATTCATAGCCCTGAAAGGGCTCCTAGCTGAGGCAGCAGGTGGGGACAGACATCCAGCCCATGTTCCACTTGCTGAGCTATGGCAGAAAGTACGGGAATATTCCTCAAAATACTGTTGGGAAGACAAAATAGATATTGGTCAACTAAAAATGGGAAATCTTGAAAGCTTTTAAAACACAGTGTAAACTGCTATAGACTTTAAAGCTTTTTAAAAGAGACATGTAAATTTGGTTATTGCTCATTTGGAAGACAGGACATTTGGCAAACTGTCTTCTGCAAAATGACCTTGAGCTGTGTATTGTATATCAGTTGCATTTACCATCTTATCTTGGTAGGGGACTGGTGTGGTAGAAATGACACAGAGATGAGAACCACACAGACCTGAGTTTTACCCAGCTCTGTCACATGTCACCTGAGTGATCACACTCCTCTCCCAGCATTCAATTCTTCATCTATAAAATGAGGTTAGAGATAACTCCTTTCTGGTGCATCTGTTGTAAGACTTTGTGCTAATGTGTAATGAGGACTTATCCAGCACCCAGCGCACAAGGGACACGTAGCAAAGAGTTACAAGAGCATAAGAACAGGAATGAGCCAGTAGTATTTTCACTATACATAAAGTATTTTCACTATACACAAAGAAGTATTCATGGACCTTTTCTCAATAATCCCACATTAGATCTGTTAGTGAGCAGAGTATTATGCCCTTTTTATATAGATAAACAAACTTGAGTACAGATAGGTTAAATTATTTAAAAGGATCAAATATAGTAAGTGCATGACAGAGTCAAGATTCAGACTCAGGTCTTCTGACTCTAGAGAGTATATGCTCATGAGAGATGGCTGGCAAAAGTTCTATGTGCCCCCAAATCCCTTCCAGCACTCACAGTGGACTCCTAGCGGCCCCAAAACAGTAAACACAAAGTTGATTTTTAATATATCTTAGGCCCTGTAGAAGCCATACAAGAATTATACCCTTTTTCTGGCTTGCATGGCTTTGATAAATGTTCTCTGCCAATACCATTTTTGTCATCTGAAAAAATGGCAATGAAAATAGTAGCTACCACATACGGTTGCCATAAGCATTATCTGGTTTCATACATACATTTTTTCAGTACAGTATCTGACACATGACACTCAATAATATAGTTGTTGCTATTATTACTAACAAACACTACCTATTAAAATGACCATTCATTTTTTTAACCTCAGCTCAAATATTTCTGCCTTTTCTAAGGCTTCCCTGACCCTATACTCACATCTACCTCTAGGTTAAAATTAATCTTCCCTTTCATCTGCCGATGAGCACACGGGTTGTTTCCATATCTTGGCTATTGTGGATAATGCTGCAATGAATGTGGGTGTGTAGGTATCTCTTTGAGATCCTGACATCAATTCATTGGATATATATCCAGAAGTGAGATTGCTAGATCATATGGTAGTTCTATTTTTAATTTTTGAGGAACTGCGTTACTGTTTTCCATAGCAGCTGCACTATTTTTACTTTCTAACTAACAGTGGACAAGAGTTCCAACTTCTCCCTAACCTCACCAACACTTGTTATCTTTTGTTGTTGTTTTTTTTTTTATAGTAGCCATTGAAACTGATGTGGAATAATATCTCATTGTGGTTTTGATTTGCCTTTCTCTAATGATTATCAATGTTGAACAACTTGGTACAAACCTGTTGGCCAAATACATACAATGGAACATTATTCAGCCTTTAAAAAAAAGAAAATCCTACCATTTGCTACAACACGGATGGACTTGGAAAAAAAAATATGCTAAGTAAAATAAGTGAGTCACAGAAAGACAAACACTGCAAATTTCTCTTATGAAAGATATCTAAATAGTCATGTTGAAGTAGACGATAGAATGGTGGTTATGAGGGGATGAGGAGTTGTTGTTTAATGGGTATGAAGTTACAGTTACCTAAAATAAGGAAGTACCAGGGATCTGCTGTACAACATAGCCTATAGTTAAAAATAAAATATTGTACCTTACAAATTAGTTAAGAGGGTGTATGATGAGTCAGGGTTCTCTAGAGGGACAGGACTAATAGGGTAGATGTATATATGAAGGGGAGTTTATTAAGGAGTATGGACTCACAGAATCACAAGATGAAGTCCCACAAAAGGCTGTCTGTCTGCAAGCTGAGGAGCAAGGACACCAGTCCAAGTCCCAAAACCTCAAAAGTAGGGAAGCCAACAGTGCAGCCTTCAGTCTGTGGCCAAAGGCCCAAAGGCCCCTGGAAAACCAGTGGTGTAAGTCCAAGAGTCCAAAAGCTGAATAACTTCGAGTCTGATGTTTGAGGGCAGGAAGCATCCAGCATGGGAGAAAGATGAAGGCTGGAAGACTCAGCAAGTCTGCTCTCTCCAATTTCTTCTGGCTGCTTTATTCTCGCCTAACTGGCAGCTGATTAGATGGTGCCCACCCAGATTGAGGATGACTCTGCCTCTTAGTCCACTGACTCAAATGTTAATCTCCTTTGGAAACAACTTCAGACACACCTAGGAACAATATTTTGCATCCTTCAATCCAATCAAGTTGACAGTCAGTATTAACCATCACAGAGGGTAAAACTCATGTTAAGTGTTCTTACTATAAAAACAAGCACACAAACAACAACAAAAAACAAAGAGACATAAGAAAACTTTTAGTGGTGATGCATAGCTTTATTATATTGATTGTGGTGATGGTAGCAGGAGTGTATACATATGTCCAAACTCAGCAAATTGTATACATTTATCGTGTGCAGTTTTTGTATACCCATTATGCCTCAACAAAGCTAAAGAGAAATTAATCCTCTCCTTTTATGTGCTTTCCTAGCTGTGAGTTTCATAGTATTTGCTTAATGTCTTACCCTGTCTTACTCTTGCATGTGTATGCTTCCTCACTAGACCCCTGCTGACCAGGTTTCATTCACCTTCCAAAAGCATTTCATATGCATTGTTTAAACATGTTGAGATCACTTTTTCTTCCTTTTCCTTCTTCCAATCCCCCATCCCCACCACACTGCCAAGACCTCCTGAAGAGATTATGTTCTATCCAAAACCTAGCCTATTCCTTTCAGCTACAGGAGAATTTTACGAAACAGGTGGTAACACTAATAAATTCTATCCAATAGAACTTTACAGTTTATAAGGTGCTTTCACTTTCATTATCCATTTTATCATTCATTTTTAAACACAGATATTGTCCTAATGGACCCAGGATGCAAAGCAGGAGGAAGGCTGCTGTCTCTGCTGTTAAGGTTGCTTTGAGATGATAAATCAGACCCTTCTGCTTCTCAGTCCTGAACCAATTGAAAAATGACAAGGGAGTCAAATGGAGATCAAGGTACCAACATTATTGCTTGTAAAGCTGCTTGGTGAACACTGCGTTAATCAAATGTCAGAGCGAGGATTCCTCGTATGCCACCACCTGCTCCTCCTACCAAGGATAGCCCTTAAGATCTGACTGAGGAAAGACTCTACGGAACAGATACTCAGCCAACTACATGGGAAAGGCACTTTCTTCACACCCAAAAAGCATGTTTTATAGCACGTTAGCTCTACCTATCTAAGAGCGTTTTCGTATCATTAAAATAAAGGAAGGAAAGGAGGAAGAAAGGAAGAAGTTCTTTCTCAGGTGCAGTAACAGAGGGCCAAAGAGTTAGGTTAAAGGTGTTGCTCTAATATCCTTTCCTCCTATGAAATGGAGTGGAAGACTCTTAGTAAAACATGAGCCCTGAGAAATGAGTTCCCTCAAAACATTCCCTCAGGAACCTCTCAGTTTAATGGGAATTAAGTATTGCTTGTGCATAGGGAAAATGTATGAATAGTTTGATACGTTCTACACTCAAGGTTAATGAGAAATGGTAAGTTGGAGAAAAGGTTCTAACTTGCTTTGGGATGATGAGGAAAATGTATTTGAGTATATTAAATGTTTGTTCTCATATTTAATAAGCACTTAAGATGTGCAAGGACTAGGGGTTATTGGGTTCTCATGACAACCTTATGTGGTTGGTAAAATTGTTATTTCTATCTGACAAGTGAAAGAACAAGCAGAGAGGGTAAGCGACTTATCCAAAGTCACAGTGGGTCTCCAAATACTGAACTCCACTTCTGGTCTTACTACTTTCTAGTTCTATGACTTTCAGCAAGTCATTTAACTCTTTGAACCTCAGTTTCCGCTTTTGTAAAGTGAGAAATATGATGTCAGATCTGCACAACTCCTGGGAGATCCATACCCTACCTCTTTTAGAAGGCTGTCATACAGATCAAAAGGAATAACACAGATAAAAGTGTTTTGGAGAGCCAGGCGCAGTAGCTCATGCCTGTAATCCCAGAACTTTGGGAGGCCGAGGCAGGTGGATGACCTGAGGTCAAGAGTTCAAGACCAGCCTTGACCAACATGGAGAAACCCCAACTCTACTAAAAATACAAAATTAGCTGGGCATGGTGGCACATGCCTGTAATCCCAGCTACTCAGCAGGCTGAGGTAGGAGAATCGCTTGAATCCGGGAGGCAGAAGTTGTGGTGAGCCAAGATCATGCCATTGCACTCCAGCCTGGTCAACAAGAGCAAAACTCCATCTCAAAAAACAAAAACAAAACAAAAAAACAAACAAACAAAAAAAGTGTTTTGGAAATTTAAAAGTCCTGTCAAAGTAAGAGATTATGAAACTCATTACTGTAAAGTCCAGCGCAAATTGGTGGCAAACACTGCTGGCCCCTGCTCTACATCCACTGCAGAGGCCAAGGGAAAGGTTCCCCTCCACTCTCTGAAGGTTCACTGAAAATAAACTGACATAGACAGATTAATAGGAGAAAAAGCATACAAAATGAATTTAACATGCATATCACAAGGAAATCACAGGAGGATGATTAGTCAATAACCCAATGGAGTACAGATGTTTATATGTTCTTTTTCATGGGGGAAGGGGAATGGAGGGGTATAGGAGTGAGTGATTTTTAGGGAAAATAAATAAGGCCAAAGAACAATGGCCCAAGACAAAGTTCCTCTGAGCTCTTCGGGAGGTGGTGGGAAAGTGAAGGGCAAAACTTTGCTGTGAACGAAGATGTCTTATTATGTAGATAAAGTTCCCCAGATAATCTTTCAGAGCTGCACTCAGAAGAATAAATGAAAAGTCTGTCTGGACATGGTGAGGACCCTCAGTGTTTTCTCTTCTCTAGGAGTTAATCTTTCCTGGTTATTTGACGAGATTTCTAGGGAGGGCATCTTTTTTTCTTTTCTTTTCTTTTTTTTTTTTTTTTTTTTGAGACAGAGTCTCGCTCTGTGTTGCCCAGGCTGGAGTGCAGTGGTGCAATCTCGGCTCACTGCAAGCTCTGCCTCCCGGTTTTATGCCATTCTCCTGCCTCAGCCTCTGAAGTAGCTGGGACTACAGGCGCCCGCCACCACGCCTGGTTAATTTTTTTGTATTTTTAGTAGAGACAGGGTTTCACCATGTTAGCCAGGATGGTCTTTATCTCCTGACCTCATGATCCACCTGCCTTGGCTTCCCAAAGTGCTGGGATTATAGGCGTGAGCCACCATGCCTGGCCAGGAGGGCATCTTAAGACAATTACATTTCTTTTAGAAAGAAGCTTTCTTAGTCAGATAAGGAAATTCCAGAGACAGTCCCTCCTGGTGCTTCAGGAAGGTAAGAAGATCAGAAAGACAGGGAGGAGAGGGAAGATTAGAGTCTTTCAGGTGCTTCTCTAGTTCACTATATTTTGGGGTATCATTTTCTGAGCTCTGACACCACTCTCCTTATTATACTAACAGAACTCTGTTTCAAGAGACCATGTACCTACCTAGAAATCCTAACATCCCAGATTCTCTTATAGCCAGGGATAGCCATGTGACCATTTTCAGCCAATAGATGTTAAGTAAAAGACTATTGAGTGGAGATTCCAGAAAAGCTACTGTTTCTCTGATAGAAAGAGACAGACTCCACGGTCATGTAGTTCCTATCCTTTACCCTTCTTCCTGCCTGGAGTGCAGCCTTGATGCTTAGAAATAAGACAGCCAGCCTACAACCATAAAGACAAAAGCCAAATGCTTAGAATGTCAGAGCAGGAAGCCAGAAGGAGCCTGGAGCATTGACTATTTGCTCAAGCATTTGCACTAGCTCAAGATCATCTACCTTTTTGTTCACTAAACAAAACAGAACAAAAATCTTCCATTTAGTTAAGCCGCTGTGGTCAGGTTTCTATCATTATAAACCAAGTACAATCCTAGTTGACAACAGGTGCTAATCATGGCAACAAGAGAAGTGTTACAGTGCATTCTCAGGCTCTTTACCGCAATTTTTTACCCTCGGAGTCATTAAAGAATGTGATATAGTATAGCACAATAGGAAGAGACAGGTACTTTTGAAGTAACCTATAGACCTGGAGAAGCTCAAGTGTGGATTCTGTAACTGCTCTTTACTAGCTGTGTAATCTTAAATAGGATCCCAATTGCAAAATGATGATAGCAATATCCATGCTGCAAGGAGTTCCGAATGAAAAAGACATGGTGCACATGAAGCAGGCAACAAACATTGATAGTGCTTTCAGTAGGGGCAGAGGACAGCCTAATAGCAGTCCAAGGTTCTAATCTGGAGGGTCATCAATCCTTCATGAAAACACGTGCTTTCCAGTTGTTTGGCAAAACCCTATTTTGACAGAGTACTACAGAACAGTAGGAACTGCCCCATAGTGGCTCATGCCTCTAATCCCAGTACTTTGGGAGGCCGAGTGGGGAGGACTGCCGGAGCCTAGTTGTTTGAGACCAGCCAGGGCAACATACAAAGACTCCATTTCTAAAAATATTTTCTTAATTTTCAGGGCATGGTGGTGCATGCCTATAGCCCCAACTACTCAGGAGACTGAGGCAGGAGGATTGCTTCAGCCCAGGAGATCCAAGCTGCAGTAAGCTATGATCACACCACTGCACTATAGTCTGAGCAGCAGAGTGACAACATATCTCAAAAAAGAACTGCCTATAACACCAACAGGCCAGCACTTCAGCATCCAAATTAGTGTCAACCACTTTGGAGGCAACATGGCATAGGATTAAGAGTTCTGGGTTTGAATCCCAGCTGGGGCACTTTCTACTTACACTTACATCACCTAGGATAGATTATTTCATCACTCTGAGGCTTAATTTTCTCCTCATTGGGTCCATTTCCCTCACAGAGGTTGTCAAGAGGTTCAAATGAGAGAACAGATACAAGTATGTTCAACCTGCACAGATTCATTATTGTTGTTATTTGTATTCTCCACTTCATCTGCTAGAATAGTAAGCTCAGTGCTGGCAGGGGAGAGAGGAGAGGGCAGGGGAGAGAAGGAGCTGGTTACAGGTATAAATTGAATTCTAAAGATACAGAATCACTGATCTGCAAAGAGCCAAGGAGGAGGTTGTTTAGGTCAAAACCAGCCTAGAAGCAGAGCTGATCACTAAGCTCATGAGGTGGTAGCTGCCTGCCGGGCAGCAGCACTTGGGAGGATGGGGGGCAGGCATAAGAAGGGGGTTCAAAATCCTACATAGCTCCCTGGTTCCTCTCCATGGTAGCCATTTCCCTGAGGGCCTTAGCAGGGCGAAAATATACTTTGCCTCTAACACAGCTCAATATATTTTAGGCTGAGGGGAGGCTGGGGGAAGGGAGAGCTGAGCTGAGAGCTATCTATTGGTAATAAAAAGCTTCCAGAATGCACCCAGCTCCTTCTGAGGCAGACTTGGAGGGAATCTGCCAGGCGGAAGACACACACACATACCCCACCCCACCCCTACCCCCAGCCATCAGCTGCCTTCCTCTGTGAACCTCCAGCTGCCCCTTTGCTAGCCAAGGCCTCTCAGGGGACTTATTACCAGGATCATGTCCATCCTCTTCTTAGGGCCCTGCATTGGTTTCACTTGAGTTTAATTACAGAGGCTCTAGAAGGGAGGGGAAGGTGAAGCAAAGAAGTGCAGACCTGCTCAGTGCAGCAGTCACTGCTGCTGTGGACCTGTGTCTGCTCAATTCCATGTAACTGACATTGGCAAGAGGGGAGCAGTGGAAAGAACGCAATCGTGGAGTCAGGGGGACGTGGGATCAGTCTTATAACTTACTGTCTCTCAGATGATCAAGTAATATAACTTCACTGCTCCTTGGTGTCCTCTAGCTTTTTGTGAAACAAAAATAAAAAAGCAATAATAAATGTTCACATTTGTAATAATTATAGGTAACACTGAGTGCTTCATATATGCCAGGCCCTGTACTAGGCATTTTTTGCACCATGTCTCAGCCCATCCTCCCAATAGTAGATGAGGCAGGCTTTCTATTGTTCCTACTTTATAGATGAGGAAACTGAGGCACACAGAGGTGAAGTAAGTCATTCAGGGTCACGCAGGTGGTGAGTCTAATGTGTAACAAATGGAAAGTGTCTGGCATGCAGTGGGAATCACCAGTGGTAGTTCTCCCAGGGGAGTGTACCTAAATTAATAGAGCAGCTCTTACCTCCCTTCCTCTCCCCATATGTTATAATAACGCATTCGTCATCTGAAAATTATCCTGGGAGGTAGGCAATCGCGGTCCCATCATACAGATGAATATATCAGCCAGGAAAACTAAATCCACTCGAGTATTTCAAGCAGAGGAAAACTATTCAGGGGCCTCATTACACAGGTAATGGAAAAGCAGAAGTGGCAACCCAGAGTAGTATAGCAGGAAATTGCTACCATTTCCAGGCCTGCTGGCTGGGGCAAGAGCCGTAAAGAGAGCTGCCGGCCAGCAGCAGCCAGGCTCTGGAGGAAAAGGCTACTCAGAGTCAAAGCTGTGGAGCAGAGCAGTGAGACTGCAATAGCCAGATTGTGTCGCTTCTCTCTCCTCCAGGCTTCCACTAGTACCATGCACTGACCAGGCCTATTTGGAAGCCAGCTGGCAGAAGAGCTTGGGAATGCAGTTTCCTAAAATACAGGGCAGAGGAGGAGGGAGAACAAATAGGCAAAAGCAACCGCAGAGAGGAAAATATGTGACTTATCCAAGGCCATGGAGCTAAGAAGGGGTAAAGCCAGGACTTGAATTCGGGCCTCCTTCCTTTAACATTCCTCCAGTACACATTCCAACCCCTTGGCTTTTCAACAGAGGATACTCTCAACTCTTTCTTCCACTTACTGTACCATTTTCCAGAGCTTTTCCAAGCTTTCCAAGCCTCAATCTCCACCCTAACTCAAATCTTTCTTATTTGACCTAGTTCCTATGTCTTCATATGACATCAAGACCACGTGACCCAAATTCCCTTGACATCCACCCTCTTACTGCTTCCTGCACCCACTCTTAGTGTCGTCTTGCAATGTGTGTAAGAATGTCCCCCCATCCCACATCAATCAAGATTCAATCAGGAAAGCTGAAACTCTGTGAATATCCTAAAATATGAATTTGTTGTAGAATTAACACATTTTATAACTGTAGTAGAAACTGGGTAAGTAAGCACCCCAACAGGGAGATGGGAAATCAAATAAGTCACTAAGCAGCCATCTTGAAATACCAGAATGAGTGGGCACATAGGCATTCATGAAGGAATATGCGTAGCCAGGCTCATGTATCTGCTGGAGTGGATCTGCAAAAGAAAGCTGATGGAAAAGTCTTTGGAAGGCTGTTGCTGCTGCATCAGATTATGGTTCTGGGGTTAACATCACTTAGCAGGGCAGGCAGGAAGGAAGAAGAGCTAAGCGCAGAGTTGAGGGGAAGAAAGATAAGCTCAAATTTTCTGGCATCTCACTTTTACTACAAAAACCAAAACAAGCTGAAGTCAGCCAGCACCTCTGCATGTACCTCTCACCACGTTTAACCACAGTGACCTTCAAGATGTAACGGCTCTGCCATTCTTTCAAATCATATGCAAATTTCTCTTTTGGTCTATCCTAACTCTCAACTATAAAGAGAAACATTGTTCCGTCTCAGCGGGTTGACGTAGTATAAAGCCACCACACTCCCCTGCCCCAAGCTGATTCTACACTCTAGACACCATTCCTTCTTGCCACCTCAGGGGACTCACCCTTACTATTATCCACTCTCTTTTCTGTCCTTTCAACCATTTGCTGTCCACTGGTTCTGTTCTATCTGTCCAGGAACACGTTTCAGTCTCTCCCATACTAAAAAAGGAAGACTGCCCTCCACGACTGCTACCCTCTAAAGAAAGCTACCATCTCCTTTCTCCTCTCACCATCTCAAACGAAATGTGGGGGAAACATGAGCTATATGCTTGGTGATTCCCAAACCTCAGCACTTGCTTGCTTCTTAACCCTGTCGTTGGACTTCCTGTTCACCTCTCCACTGAAAGCACTGGCTCTTGGCTAAGGTACTGGTCTCTTCTTCAGGGCTCACCTTCTGTATAGCATTTGAGTTTGTTAGTGTTTCCTTCCATCTCAGATCTTACTCCTTCTTTGGCTTCTATGACTCTGTTCTCTCCTGGCTTTCCTCCTCCTCTCAGGCTACACAATCTCATTAACTTCCATCATGCCCTCTTCCTTTGCCTATCCCTCAAATGTTGGGATCGGTCAGAGTTGGGATTGGTCAGAGTTCCAGCTGTGGCTATCTCATCATCTCACTATAAACACTCTCACTCTGAGTTCAGTCAGCCTCCAGACTCCAAATCATAGCTACATACCATGCTATTTACTTCCAAATCTTTTTTTTTTTTTTTTTTTTTTTATAGATACAGGTTTTCACCATGTTGTCCAGGCTGGCCTCAAACTCTGGGGCTTAAGTGATCCACTCACCTTGGCCTCCCAACCAAATTTCTAGTTCTAGTCTAGACTGGTTTCCTGAGCTCCAGTTATTTCCAGCTACCAGCTGCAGATAATACAAGTTAATGCCCAAAGAGTACTATTATTGATTGAGCAGAGATGGAATGAATACAAATCAAATAATAACAGTTAGTTGATGATATTCAAGCTCTTATTTAAGTTCTAGGCATTACGCTAAGAGTTTTATATGCACTATTCCTTTTAATCTTCACAAACTCTAAGAAGTAGACACATTTATAACACCGTTTTACATATTAAAAAACTGAGGCTCAGAGAGATAATTAACGAACCTCAGGTCTGGCCATGATGAAATAAATGGTGCTGGACTTGCAAGTGCCACAGACTAGGAGAAAATATTATATTCATCATGAAGAACTTACTTTGAAAACACAAGAAGATACATATCACACTTATATGTGAAATCTAAAGAAGTAAAACTCATAGAAGTAAAGAATAGATGGTAAACACCACAGGCTGGAGCAGGGGGGTAAATGGGGAAAGGGGAGATGTTAATAAAAGGGCACAAGATTCCAGTTTTACAGAAGAAATAAGCTTTAGTGATCTATCACACAGAATAGTGACTATAATAAATAATCCATTGTATATTTCAAATTGCTAAAAGAGTAGATTTTAAATATTTTTACCACACATAAAAAGTATGTGAGCTGAGAGATTTGTCAATTAGCTTGATTTAATCATTCCATTATGTAAACGTATTTCAAAACATCATGTCATGCCCCATAAATATATGTAATTATTATTTGTCAATTAAATATAAAATTTAAAAAATATGAAAATAATACTTGTAACTCAGTAATAAGAAAGCAACCAACCTGATAAAAATGGACAAAAAATTTGAATATACTTTACCAAAGAAAAGATGATCAATATCATTAGTCATAGAAGAATGTAAATTAAAACCTCAATGAGATATGATTGCACCATAGCATGGTTAAAAATAAAAAGACTGATAATTCCAAGTGTTGGCAGAGATGTGGAACCTGGAATTTCCATGCATTGCCAGTGCTAATGGAGAATGCTACAGAACTTTGGAAGCTATTTGTCAGTTTCTCTTAAAATTAAAGATACACTTACCATATAACATAGAAATCCTAGTCCTGAGTATTTACTCAGAGAAAAATGAAAGCGTATAAAAATAAAACAAAACCTGTACATGAGTGCTCATGGCAGCCTTATTCTCAACAGCCAAAAAGTGGAAACAATCCAAATGTCCATTACCTCGTGAATGGTTAAATAAATTGCAGTACATCCATACAGTGGGAAAGATGGTCTTTTAATTAAATGGTGCTGGAACAACTGGATAACTATTGTAATGCAATAAAAAGGAAGGAATTGCTGATACTTGTAACAACATTGATGAGTCACAGAAACATTATGTTAAGTGAAAGCAACCAGATACAAAATGATTCTAATTATATGAACTTCTGGAAAAGGCAAAGCTATCACAGCTAAAATTGGATCAATGATTGCCCGGGGCTGGCAATGGTAGGAAATTGACTTCAAGAGAGTATGGATGTTATTATACTTTGGGGGCCAATGAAAGTGTTCTGTTTCTTGATTGTGCTGGGGGTCATACTACTGTACGTATTTGTCAAAACTCATTGAGTTGTATATAAAATTGGTGAATTTTATTGTACATAAATTATATGTTATAAAGCCGATTTTAAAAAAAGCAATGTGGGATGTCCAAAGATAAGATATATACAAGGTATAGAGGAAGCAAAAAAAAAAATGGCAAATCTTAGTCAGAATGGAGGAGTCATGGAAAGCCTCCGACAGTCTAGCTGAATCAGGATAAGTGGACACAAGCCTGTCAAAAAGCAGCTTCTTGTGGCTGGTTCATCTAAAGTGAGAGGCCCTGTTTGCCTCTGTTAGCAATGCATCTTATGGTTGGATTGCATTAAGAAGAATGGGGAAGGTTTTGTGAGCGCCACTACTAAGACTAAAATGGAGAATGGGGTTCAGTGGGGCTTGCCCTTACCAATGCATAAGGGTGTGTAGAACTAAAGACCAAGGATAATGTTTGAGGAACTTTGAGAAATTGTAGAACTCTAAGTTTCTTCTGTCCCTCTCTCTGCCACAGAGACAAGTTATAGTACTTTGTGCAAGTCACTCCCTTTCTCTGGGCACGGATTGCCCATCTGTAAAATGGGAGAAGAATGAGCAGACTTGATGATCTCTAAGTTTTCTTCCTTCTTTAACTTTCTATGATACCATATGTGGACGCTTCTGCTGGTTTGGCTATATCCAAGAGGCCAGTGTTCTGAATTCCTGCCTGTGTGACTCACTTCCTTTTCCTTTCATCCTCATAACCTCAGAGGGCCACATGCAGGGAGGAAAAAGGCAGAAAAGGGAAGACAAAGCTGGCAAGCAAGAGCAAAGATCTAGAGTCTAGCCTGGAGCTCTTTTTTTTGGGAAGTTAGAGGCAGAAAGAAGACAGCCAGGCAGTACAGGTCTAGAAGCAGGTAGTCTGTTCATTTGACAAACACATATGAAGTACCTACTGTGTTGCCACACACACTTATTAAGCATCTCCTTGGAGCTTGGTGCTGGGATTCAGCATTGAAAAAAGACAGATATGATCCATGCTGTGGGGGTCTAAGTCGGGGAGGTGCTGATCAAATTTGTTATTCAAAAAGAAAACCAGCTGCCTTGCCTAGAATTGATTACGGTTGTTATTCTCCCTAGTTTACACACAAGAAAATTGGGGTTTAGAAAGATTAAGAGTAGTGCTCCAGCTAGAGAAACCCTGATTGTTAGCCAGCCCCACAACCTATGCTGGCTACAATCTATGTCCTGTCTGTTACAGTGTCTCTTTCTATTCATGATATTTGTGAAGTATTACCAGGCGAGAAGAGGGCAGGGGAGGGAGGGGAGGGGGGGATGGAAATGAGGCACCCCCAGGTCAGGATGTGCTGGGCTCACACTTCAAGTCCGCTGCACTGTGATACACTCTGTTTGAGGCTGGTCAAGAGGCCAGCCATTCCCAGGGGCTCCAGTCAGAGGGAACTGCCGGCTGCACTGCCCAACAAAGATGTCTAGTTGCATCTTGTTCCTATCGATTACCCACCAAAGTGTTTCTCATTGTTAGGCATTCCCCAGAGGCAAGCAGGAGAAAAGGAGTCCTTTCTCTTTTTTTTCGTTTAATGACATCCAATCCTGCCCAGTGATCTCTGCCCTCTTCCCAGAGGCAGGAGACAGGAGGGAGGAGGGAAAGGAGAGAAAGAAAACACAGAGGTGTGGCGGTGGGGGCGGGCAGTGCATAGACACAAAGACAAGAGATGGAGAGAGACAAAGGGAGAGACACAGAGATATGCAAGGAGGGAGACACAGACAGAAACCAGCATGCAGAGACAAAGAGAGAAGCAGAGAGAGACTCATGGCGACAGAGAGAAAGAGGGAAGCAAAGAGAGACAAAAAGGGTCAGAGACAGGGAAAGAGGGAGCAACAGAATGACAGTAGGACAGAAATAGGCAGAAACAAAGCAGCAAAGCACAGGGACATAAAGAAACAGAGAGGGAGTCCGGGCGCGGTGGCTCACGCCTGTAATCCCAGCACTTTGGGAGGCCAAGGCGGGCGGATCATGAGGTCAAGAGATCAAGACCATCCTGGCTAACACGGTGAAACCCCGTCTCCACTAAACAAAATACAAAAAACTAGCCGGGCGTAGTGGTGGGCTCCTGTAGTCCCAGCTACTCGGGAGGCTGAGGCAGGAGAATGGCGTGAACCCGGGAGGCGGAGCTTGCAGTGAGCCGAGATCGCACTACTGCACTCTAGCCTGGGCGACGGAGCGAGACTCCGTCTCAAAAAAAAAAAAAGAAAGAAAAGAAAAAGAAACAGAGAGGGCAAGAGAGAAGTAGGTAAAGGGAGAGAGGGAGGGAGAGAGCGGGGTGGGAGGAAAGCGGTAACACTCCCACAACTCCTTTGTCCCTCAAGGTCTAAGAGCTGAGAAGATTCACAGAAGAACCTGTGATCAGCCCATACTCGGCCCAGGCACAACATTCCTGACCTCAAAGCATATGGGGATTGGTTGTTCTGACATTTCATGCAGAAACGTTAATTTCCCCACAAGTGGGAGTGAGAGCTCCGGAGAGGCATGCAGCCTGCACTTCAGTCCAGGCCCTGGGACCAGAACAGGCTTTGGACGCAGGAGACAGAAACGTCTGTGAAGGTCACATACTCCAGGGCTCAGACCTTACCTCTCTCGTCAACCCTCAGATCTCCCTGAGAGGGTTCTATCTCTCCCTCCACTTCATGACTCCTGAAACCAGGTTGAAGGCCACGCCTCCACATCTGGCATACTCTTGGGCTCCACATACCTATCCAATGCAGAGATCCTCTCACAGGAGCCACTGGTGTCTTCAACATAGACACAGCTTGACTCATAGCATTCCTGCCTCCTTCCCCAGCCTGCTCCTTCTGCTGGGTGTCTGAATTTCCAGCCAGTCATCCCAGCCAGAAAGCTGGTCACCTACCCCTTTATTGCTCCCCACCACCCCGCATCAAAGTATTCACCACGTCCTGTGGATTTGATCTCCTTAACATGTCTTAGTTTCTCTGGGCCTCATCTTTGAATCTGTAACCTGGGGATAATAGTACCTACCTCACTGCATTGTTAAGGTAATTAAATGAGTTACTATTTGCAAAGCACTTGGAATGGTGAGTTCCAAGCCTATAGCAGACCCTCAACCAGTAGTCAGTAGTCATAGAAGCCATTCCCTGTCTTCATCCCACACCCTTGGATTTCCTTCAGGTCACTACCATCTCTCGCCCATAACACTTTCTAACAGAGCCCTGGCACTGCGCACATGGATTCCGATCTATCTTCACAGCTGCCAGAATGATCTCTCAACAGGCCAACTCTGTTCCCTGCTTCCCCACATAAAAGCATGCAGTGAGTCTGAAGAGACTCAAGCTACTCTGCTGACATAAAGAGTCCTCCATGATCCAGACTTGTCTACATCTATACTCTTCATTCCTGCCACTCCTCATTGCTCCTCAAAACACATCTGTGCACATCAAGCTGTTTTCAACCTCCCTGCTATTATTACCCAAGCCCTGCTTCATCCCACCAACCTACCTTGCTACATTTCTAAAGAATCCACATGTGCCATGACTTCTAATCTCCCAAGACAGGCACTGTCCTCTCCACGTTAGAGACGGAAGGGAGGCTCCATGCCCGTCCAAGCCACACAGTTGTAAGAGGCCAAGCCTAGACTTAATCCCAGGACCCTCTGTTTTCACATCTGTACCCACTGTGGCGCATCCATAGCAGATCGTAGAGTATAATAACCTACACTTAGAGAGCAGTTACCACATTTTAGGCACATGCTAAGCAGCATAGCATTACCTTGTTTAATCCTTCCAACCACTCTCTGTGGTAACTGCAATTTTGCAGGAGTAATTACTCTGCCCAGGTTGCAGATGAGGAAACAACAGCACAGAGAAGTTGAGTAATTTGCCCAAGTTCCCAACCTAGTAAGTGGGGAGCTGGGACAGGAAGCAGAGGAAGGCTGGCTCCTCAGTGCAGTTCTTTACTGGCTATACAGGGGTGAATGGAAAATAGGTTCCCAGTTCTGTTTCTGCCACTGCTGTATCACTTTGCTGAGTTACTTAATGTCTCAGAGCCTCAAGTTACTCATCTGTGAAATGGGGATAAGGTCACACTGCCCTAACTCCAGGACCAGATGGAGAACCAAATTTTAAAAATAAAAAAGGCAGTGAACTGCTTAGTAAAATAAGGAGAAAGGAAGACCACCACGGATTGGGCTACAAGTAGGTGCCAGAAATTGGAATTGTGTTTTCATGTTATCTCACTTCAGCCTCATTACAACCATGCAATGTCAGCATGTCACAGTCCCATTTTACAGATAAGTCAAGTCAGCATGGGAGACAGGCATGCATATGAATAATTCAGAGTACTTAATTTACATCTGTATAGTGCTTTGAAGTGTACAAAATAATGCATTGTTTCTTTTTGATCCTCTGTGACCTTTCCCTGACAATCTTGTGAAGCAGGCAGAACACAGATTAGGCTTGTTTTGCAGATGAGCACTTTCCTAACTCAGGTCCACTGAGATGTGATGACTTGCTCAAGGTTACGACCAGTGACAGAAGCAGGGCTGGGATCCAAGCCTCCCACCTCTTAGGCCAAATTGGCTATCAGAGTCAGATTAGGCTGAAGTCTATGTGCTTGCAGTGCCAAAGATAGGGAAAGTGCGATTTTTAGATAGGGAAACCAAGACGTGTTTACAATTCAAATAATTTGCCCAGGTTCACACAGCTGGTAAATGGTGAATCTGAGAACCAAACTCCTGAAGTCAGACTCCAAAGTCCGAGCTCTAACCACTCATCTACCATCCAGGTCCACTCCGAAGTGAGGTGGTCAAGAACAATTGTCTCTCCTTGCATACATTCCATAACTTGCATTAATAATAACAACTGCCAAATACTGAGCAACAACGAATGCATGCCCAACACTTTAATCCTACAACAACCCCTTTATTATCCCTATTTTACAGAAGGGGAAATGGAGGCTCAAAGTGGTGAAGCAATATGCCAAGGTAATCTGTGGAGCTGGCACTTAAACTCAGGTCTAGAAAATGCCAAACCAAGATTTGTCTTTGAGTGAGACACTGATATAGAATTAGGTCCGGGGTTATGCAAATGAACCAGACATTGTTTTATTTAGTAGTCTTTGGTTGTAACGAAAACCAGCTCAAGCTAGCAAAAGCAAAAATAAATAATAAATAAATAAATAAATTGAATTTCTCATAAGAATACAGTATATTTTGTGAATCTTAAAGGTGAGAGTGCAGCCAGCCCTTTAAAAGGCTAAACAAAGGAAATAGAGATCTGTCAGCATCCCAGGCAGGGCTTTCTCTGGTCCCTAGTCTCTGCCTTTCTCTGCATCTCGTTTCTCTCAACAGAAACCAGCTTTCCATACTTCCCAGTCAGTCTATATGGCAAGCAGAAGATGGCCATAGTAATACTCCTGAGTTTACATCTCCTCTGTGAAGAGGAGACAAAGCCAGAATCTCTGGGGCCACCTCTCAGTTCCAGAAGATCATCTGAATGGCCCCGCTCAGACCAGACACCCATCCCTGGTCCAAGCAACAGTGGCCATTAGGATGGTGATGCATGATTCAAGGGTGGCTGTGGAGGGCAGCAGCCATCTAAGGGAGAGGAATAATCAGGTCTTGGGCAGGACAGACACCCCGAGGGTATTTACTATTGATGTGATCCTGGCCCCTAAAGAATGGAAGTTTAGAGAAACAGACAGGCAGATACAATAGAATCATAATCCAGTCTTGCTAGGGTGCTAGAAGAAATGTATTTACGGCGCTGAGACAGCTCAGAGGGGAAACTGTCAATTTTGCCAGGAAAATCAAGGAGGAGAACTCTTAACCGTTACACAAAAAAATGATCAGAACCTCAGAAGCAATAAAGTTTTAAATGATAGTGTGGGCATAACAAAGGCTATAAAGCAAATTTTATTATAATTATAACTGTAGATTATGAAATATATAAGTATAATTCTCTGAAATTCACAATTGATAATTATTATTTAGGTGTTTTGGGAATAATTACGCATTTTGATATTAAAAATTAATATAGAAAATTTAAAATGAAGATGGACAAGGTGGGTCTTTTAATATTTAACCATGACAAAATAAAGGAACAAGGACTGGGGGAGGCAGTGTGGTCTAATGGAAAGAGCATTGTCATCAGAAAGTGCTGCATTTGAAACCCAGCTCTAAAATTCACTAGTGGTGTGATGCTGGGGAAGTTATATGCCCTGTCTGATCCTAATTCCACATCACAAACTGGGGCCAATAATTCCAGACTCTCAGAGTCCTTGAGAATAGTGACTGGCATAACTTACATGAATCAATTCATGCCACTTCTCTGCCCAGAAGCCTCCAAGGAAAAGTCAAAGTCCTTCCCGTGTCCTGGAAGACCCAAGTGTGATCTTCCCATTGCCTCCACCCTGTGCCATTACATAACTGACCTCGTCTTCTGCTCCCACTCTGTTCAGTCCCTTCCAGTCATACTGGCTTCTTTGCTGTCTCTCAGATGTTGAGGGCAGGCTCCCATAAGGGGGATAGGAGTGGAAGATACCTGCTCTTCCTTCTGCCTAGAATCTCTTCCCCTTGACATCTTTAAGACCCACCCATCACCTTCCTCAATTCTTTGCTCACAAAACTGTAATCCTCTCCCCAGCACATCATATCTCCATCTCCTGCTTTTTCTCTATTTGCATATCATCTTTATGTGACTATATACTTATTTATTTCATTTATTATCTGTTTTTCTCCAGCAGAATGTAATCTTTGAGAAGGCGTGGACTTTTATTTCTGTGGAGTCCACTACTGTATCTCAGCAACTAAAACAACGCCTGGTACATAGAAGAAAACTTGATGAAGGTTGATTGAATGAATGAATAACTAGAACAAAAAACTCAGCATATAATGGGTATCACCTTCTTCCTTTCACAGCTTCTGAAACAATTACTTTTCCTAAGGTCTAAGTTAGATGTTAGTTGTAACTGATGTCTTTTTAAAATACATAACATATTCTATATTCAGGCTATCCCCATGTCAGAATTTTTTTCTGTCTTTATTTCCATCCTTGCCTTTTTACATGTTGTGTGGACATATAAGGTGCTCCATATTTGCTGAATTCCCTTATTTATCCAAGTCCTAGGAAAAGAAATAAAATAAATGCTCTGCTCACAGCTGCCAACACTTGTAATGAGCAATTCTTGATGGAGTCTTGAGTATACTAAGAAATCCATGCACTGAGAAAGAGTGGAGATGAGTATACTCTGGCATCAGGCATGAGAGGGGCCCTGCATTCATATGCTCCTGGAGTGGACATCTGTTGTTTTGTTCATCCAGCTCCCTTAAAAGAGCTCCAACTCCACTCCAGCCGTATCATTCCAGCAGAGCTGCCAGCCACAGGACCAGCCGTGTTTCCTGCCCTCCACTGTGGGACCCAGGCCAAGGTCTCTTTCCTTCGGCCCAGCGATTAGATGGCCTAATCAGCACCTTCTCCCCTCTCCCAACACCCCCTTACCCGCAAGAAACGTGTAACTAGCAGGGTAACATTCTTACTGCTTTTAAGTAATGAAGATGGAAGGATTTGTTATTAGTGACCACAAATAGGCATCTTCCTTGCCACATGCAGGAAGTCTCTCTGCAATGGAAGAGAAAGACAGAAACACACAGAGAGAAAAAGAAACAAGAGATGGAGGGAGGAGAGAAGAACGTGAATAAAAGCAAAACCTGTTGTATCTCAATACTTGGAACAGTTGCTGACATGTAGTAGGCATTCAATAAATAGTTGTTCAATGAATAATTGAAGGGGAAGAGGAGGGAAAGGAGGAGGGGGGGAGAGAGAGGGAGAGAGGGTGATTTCATTTGTATCGGATCCAGAACTTTTTCCGCGTTTATTTATGGAGTTAGTGTCACGTACTAGGCACTATGCTAGGAGCTGATATTATAATAATGAACAGACAGATAGACTTCCTGCCCCAGGGGAGTTTATATTCTAGTAAAGGAGGTAAACAACGAAATAATTATGGTTGCCATAAGTCAAATACCCCCATGAGGAATGCCTTTGAAGGCTGTGCGACCACGCACCTTCTTGACCTCTCTTGGACAAGCTACAAGCTGCCTGGCTCACAGTAACTCCCCAGCCCTGAACCATGCCTCCAGTTCTCAGGGGTGGGTCTCCACTGGCAATATCAATACCATATGACTCTGCTAAACCAGTCGATCTCCTTAACAAAAACAGGGAATTTCGACCTCAGAGACAGAGACTAGGATTCATTGCAGTTGAGTTGTGTTAAAGTAAAACTTATAGAACAAACTTTTAGAATTCCTGCTGCCAATGTCCAAAGACTGTCCCTGATCCTTGCCCATACTGAGGTTTGGTCACTTGTTTCTTATGAATTCTGTACATATCCTCAGGATCCCTAAGGAAATGCCCTTTTTTGCTTAAGCTAACCAAAATAGTTATCTATTTTTTGCAGCCAAAAAAAAAAAAATCACTAAAACAAAAACATTTCCTCAACTCTCTAGATAATTAAGACAATAAAAAAGAAAATAAAGTAAGTATAATTTATAGAGTGCTTTAGAATTTTCCTAAGACTTTTCCCTGCATTACTTCCTTTTAATGTCCCAGTATCATTGAGAACCATGAAGAAGGCACCATTATTTACTCCCATCTACAGATGAAAAATCTAACCCTCAGCAATGTCAACTGTTATTTCAGAGCTTTGATATCAGAAATACCCCATTTCAAACCCAATTAATGTCACTAGCTGTGGAATTTGAGCAAGTAATTTAACCTCTCTGAGCCTCAATTTCCTCATGTGTAAAATGCAAGGAAGGGCAGGTATCCCACTTTCACGGGGTTGTGAGGATGAACTAGATCTTGGATGTGAAGCTCTGAGGACAAACTTGGCTCTTGACAGCTTCCCGAGTGCTCAGGGTCCCATGCCGCTACCTTCCCATCCCCTATACATGTTTGCAAATGTGCATGCATGCGCACGCATTCACACACACACATGACTTGAACAGGCATAAGTCACTAAACAGGATTTTGAACCTTGATCTCCTGACTCTAGAATCTTCACTCTTTTTGCTACTCACAAGCTGTGAACAGAATAGTAGAAAAGACTCAAATTTACATTATGGAAAAACTTGGATTTATTTGGTCTGGAGAAGATTCCAAGGAACATTTGTAGGTTTATCCCAGAGAACAGACAACAGATTTACACAGTGTGTTCTCAGAGGTAGAACTAGAGCCAAGTTACTGGGTTTCTGTTTAGTATAAAGAACTTTTTCAGGGCCAACAGTGCAGCCATCCAGGGGAGTGGTGAGACATGTCACTGGCACTGAGCAAGCCAACTCGGGGACCTACTCAGAATGCAGGCATGGAACCTAAGTTCCTCCAAGCCCTGTGAGTCTAAGAGTCTAAGAGCCTCTTAGGTACACTCTTAGATGTACTTGAGATTGCCTGACAAGACACTGTGCCTCGAGGATCAGCTTTCACAAGCAGATGAATCCTTGTCGAAAAGTTGTGGCCTTAGTGGAATATTACAGAGCAAAGTAGACAGGCTGCGCCATTTGTCATCTTTGATGTGAGTCCTGGATTCTATAGGTCTCATCTCTCTAATCATCAGGACCGATCATGTGATCATCACATAGCCTCACAGGGCAGCTGGGGACCAGCAGGGCAGCATCCCTTGTCAGCCTTCAGGGCTTACCTAGATTAAGTTTGTCTCCTTCAGAGCTTTCCCAGGAGAGTGCTTGGCCCAGAGCGGACTGTTAGGAAAAGCCAACCCCCTTTGACCAAGAGCCACAGATTCAAAGTGGGAAGCTGTGTGTTACAAAAGTTGTAAGCCCACTCTCAGGGACCCTAAGGATCTAGGTTCAAATGGTGTGTATGATGGGAGCAAATCACTAACCCTTTCCACTGTTAAGTTCCTCATATGTAACACACAGGGTGGCTAGGAAGATGAAGAGAAGAAACACTGTTAGCACAGTGCCCAGGAAACAGTCATGTCCAGGGAGGAGGAGTCCATCCACTCTCCTTCCTTCTTCCCTGTCTCTCCTTGTTTTTCCTTCTTCCCCCAGTTTCCAAGACCTTTCAGCCCACAGTAATCTTCCAATTGGGCTGGTGGTCCCGGCTGTGCCCTATTAGGCTTTCCAGCCATATTGAGCATCCTAATCCCCTGTGGTCAGTCTATGAAGCACCATTCACACACACCATCACATTTAACACTTCAGGATCATTTCCTGCTACTCCCCGCCACCTCCCTCTCTCCACTCCCAGAAACACCCACCATCTTCGATTCCTCAGACACATCAAGCCCTTCAATCACCTTGGGCCTTTGCACTTGCTGTTTCCTCTGCCTGGAATACTCTCCCTAACCCCATTCTTCTCATAGCTGGTTCCTCATCATGGGGGCTCCTTCAGATGTCACCCCTCAAAGACGCCTTCCCTGACCACCCTATTGGAAGCAGAGTCCTCCCAGTTATTCTTTGTCACATCATCTTATCTTCTTTCAGAGCACTGATGATCATAACCTATAAATCTATTCTGTTTGTTTAATTTTTTTTTTTGATCTTGTGTTACCCAGGCTGTAGTTCAGTGATGTGATCTTGGCTCACTGCAGCCTCAACCTCCTAAGCTCAAGTGATCCTCCCATCTCAGCCTCCCGAGTAGCTGGGACTACAGGCATGCACCATCACACCCAGCTAATTTTTATATTTGAGATGGGGTTTTGCCACATTGCCCAGGCTGGTCTTGAACTCCTGGGCTCAAGCGATCCACCTGCCTCAGCCTCCCAAAGTGCTAGGATGTTTAATTGTTTATTTTAAGGCCACCTTTTTGGAGTGTAAACTCCAGGAGGAAAGTATCCTTATGTCTCCTGCTCATTGCTGAATCCCAGAAGCTAGCACACTAGCATGATGAATGAATGAGTGCGTGAGTGGACAAATGAACATTAGCATCACATTTTATGAATGAGGAAACAGACACTTGGAGGAGACTTGCCTCATTTCTCACAGTGACTGTGGGCCTCTCTGCGAACACTCCCCATGTCTATTTGCTTTGCTCTAGGATGCTGGGGACTGACCGTGTCCCAGGGAAAGAATAGGCCATGTCTCAGGAGACATCCCTGAACCAGAGCCTCAGGAACAGTGTTTTTGAATGCTACCAAATGTTAGGCACTGTGCTGCGTGTTTGACATACACAATCTCACTTAATCCTTTGTGGTAACCTATTTGTCTCAGAAAACAAAACTGAGGCACAAAGAATTATATTTCCTTGTGCAAAATTGTGGCAGAATAGGCCAGCAAATCTGAGACCACCAGAACCCCAGGTGGGTGAACCACTGGAGAATGCTGCCTCCCCTTCTGAATGCTCACTCCCTCCTTGCTCCTTTCTCAGCTCCCCACTCTGTGACCCTCAGGCCTGCAACAGACCGTAGGAGACACAGAATTGCCTTTGAGTTTAAATGGAGCCGGAAATCTTAAAATCTCTGAAAGCAAAAAGAGAACGACCTCTTTTGAGAGTCACCCACCTGTAATTGGCACAGCCCTGTCGCATCTCCCTCAATTTGTAACAGGGCAGAAATCCTGTTGAAGTCCCTGGAAGGCAGTCCCTGCTTAACGAGGACATGATCCAGCCCTGGGCGTTTCCGGCCACTTTCAAAGCCATAGCCCAGAGCTAGTTTTAATGATCACGAGAGGAACTTCTGAGAGAGTTGTAAGAGGAGGATGGGATAATTGCACTAGAAATACATGCCACAGACAACAATGGCCAGTTGGCCCAGGGCTCTTCAGGAGACGTAGCCTTCAAGGTCAGTTCCTCTGGTTCCTGTTCTGATTCCCTCTGACTCTGCTCCAAGATAATTAGAAAAGAACGATAATATCATCCCCCCCCCCCAACTGCCACCATCTCACCAACCTCTGCCTCCCACCCTGATAAAGCTGCAGTAAAGAATGTTTCTTAGTGGCTGAGTTTAATGAAAATACCATGGGTTTGGGAGTGGGAAGCTTGACTGAGCTCCCTACCCGCTGTGTGACCTTAAGCAAGTTACTTAACCTCTCTGGACCGTCTCAGCTGGAGGAAAAATATCAAATAGTACCTACCCGACATGCCACCAACTTTCTAGTTGGTGACAGTGGCTGACACAGGGTGGGCGTGCTAATGTTATCATTGCCAGTAGCAGAGAAATAGAGATGTGACATTTTGAACTGTTATTATATATTTCTGGTCTTCAAAAATCCATTCATGCCTGTATGACAAAATGATTAATATGTGTTTCAGCCTTCCCTCCTCTCACCCCCACCTCTTTCTTATCCCCTACCTGCTAGAGAGGACTTTGTCTTTGTCTTCTCCCTAGCCCCACCCTTCAGGAAGACTTCCGTCTTTGTCAGATTTCTGTGCTGCAGAGCTGGGAGAAGGAATGGTTAGTGCCCAGACACCGTGGCACCCCTCAGCCCTTTAGTCTCCCTTCCACCCCTTTTCTATCTCTACTAGAATTGCAAACTCCATGATGATGGGGACTTGGTCTGTGTTGTTTATAGCCCTATCCTGGCATCTACTACAGTCCTAGCATGTAGATATTTGTTAGCATGGATGGATATTTGCTGGATAATGAAACTTCAATACCAAGGGATGATATCAGGAATGATTTGCCCCCTTTCCCCAGGCAATGCTGAAAATATTTTCGGGTGTCACACCTGGAAGGGAGTGCTAATGGCCTCTGGTGAGTAGAAGCCAAGGATGCTGCTAAGTATCCCACAGTGCACAAGGACAGCCACCTACAACAAAGAATTATCCAGCCCCACATGTCAATAGTGCTGAGGTTGAGAAACTGCTACACTCCACGTCCAGGCAGCTTTGTCCTGCAACCATTCTGGGCCAAGACACTGTCCTTTCTCATTTGTTACCCTGCAATATCTTCCTATCAGACCTCCCTGCTCCCCATCTTGTCCCCTGAAATCTACCCTCTCCATGGAGCAGCCAAAGTAAGGTTTTAAAAATCAAGTCACTTTCTTACTAAAAACCCTTCCAAAAACCTATGGCTTCCCACTGCCCTTCAAAGAAAAGCCTAACTCCTTACTGCATCTTACAAAGCCCTATGTGACCTGACTTGCACTGGCTTCTTGGTCTCGGTTCCTACTACTTGCCTCCTCACTCACTCAGCTCCAACTACACTGACTCTCTGTTTCTCTAACATGGTGGGTCTCAACGTGTACTCCCTGGACCAGCAGCCTCAGCATCGCCTGAAATCAGTTAGACATGCATTTCTCCAGCCCCATTCCAGACCCACTGAATAGAAACTCCAGAGGAAACCTGAGCACTCTGGTTTAACAGGCCATCCAGGCGATTCTGATGCATGCTTGAGACCCAGTGATCTGACAGAGAGGCTCATTTCTACCTCGGGACCTTTTCACCTGCTCTTCTCTTTGTCTGGATTATTCTTCCCCCAGATCTTCAGGTGATGAAATCCTCATTCAAGTCTCAACTCAGTTGATACTTCCTCACACAGGCCTTCCCTGAACATTCTGTCTAGCTGTCCTCTGACCCAAGTTAATAACACATTCCTTTGTAACAAGTGTTATTTCATTATATGGTAAGTTATTTGTTTGCATTTATTTTCTCCCCTCTCTGATACAACGTAAGCTCCACTGGAGAGCAAGGATTCTCCAGTGTTCATTGATCTATCCGTAGTGTCCAGGGCAGTGTCTGTCAAAATGTGTATTAAGTGATTGAATAAGTGGAAGATCTGATTGGTGGGAAAGCAGGGGAGAAACTAAAACCAAAGAGGGTTTCAATTTACATTATATTGAGAAGTGGAGACAGGAAAAAAGAGAAAAAAATACTCAGACTGGGATATTTAAGAATTTTGACTCTTGGAGATGGAAGGAGTGGATGCTTGAGAAGGAGGAAAAGGTTTTCTGAGACGTGTTCTTGTTGACATTACAAAACACCCAAGTGGAGACTCAGTTCCCACAGGGCTGCTGAACTGTGCTGGGTAGAAGGCGACTTTATGCAGAGGTGATGTGGGTCCCTGGGACTGAAGAGATTTACACAAGAACATCCTGCATTCATTCAACACACATAGAAGTCCCAGATACACACAAAAAAAGTTCTGGGGGGAACACAAGAGATGAATTAGATACAAATCCTGTCTTCAGGAAACTTGAGGTTTAAGTCAAAGGTAAGACTCACACAGAGGTGATCACGTGAAAAGGGAGACAATGCCAAGAAAGAAAACGTTTTTCTCAGCTATGTACTCTATATACAGCATCTCCTTGGTGCTTTATATAAAGTATGTCATGGAATATCCACAAAAACTCTGTTAAGTATCCCCATTTTTCAGGTGATAAGTGATAACGTTGAGCATTTGGTCTGTTTAAATCTAAAGGCTTTCTAAGAATTCTCATTGAATTCTTACACCATTCCAAGGAGGCATTTACTATCATAATCCCCTTTGCACAGATGAGAAAATTGAACCTCATACAGGTGAAGTGATATGCACAAAGTAATAGAGCACTTCTGCTCAAAAAAATAAACAAAAAAAGAATTGAGGATCCTGGTTCTTTCCACTATGCCACCCTTCCCCCAGGACGTTATGCAGAGGCCATTTTCAGCTTTAGGTAAGGAAACACTAGCCAAGCAGCATCGCTGTCTGAAAACACAGTGGGCTGTCCCAGGAAGCAGTGAGCTCTCTGTTGTTATATGCATCCAAACAGAGGCCGGAAAATCATTTGTCTGAGATGAGGTAGTGATTTCTGCGAATAGGGATATTACACTGATGACTTCTACGTTTCTGGATGTAACATCTCATGATTCTATTCCCAGTTACGTGGACTTGGGACCATCCTTCTCCTCTCTAGACCTCATTTTTATTCCATGGAGTTATATGATCATTAAGGTGCCTTGTAGGCCTTGCATTAAAAGGTTCCTAGTTTTAAAGGGCAGAGATGGAGGCCAAGGACACTGAGCACTGGCTAGGATTTCTCTCACTGAGGGTCCTGTTTAGCCAAGGGACCTGGGAACTTTGGAACTTTACTTCCTTCCCAATTTTGTCTCCAACTGGCCACAAACAATCCCGTACTGTGGAAAATTACAGGCAGCAAAGCACTGGTTTGATGACAAAGTGTTTTGGAGCCATTCCCATAGCCGGCTTGAGAACCTGTACTTCCCCACACACCACCTCCATCCCCACCACCCTCCCACAAAACCTCTCGTTTTATTAGAATTCCAATCATGCTCCAGTGATTTTGAATCCCCAGAATTCCTTTATCCCAGAGCAAGAGTAATTGGATTTTTTTCCTTCTCAGCCCCGGCCGCCCCTCCACTTCATCAGCATGCTGGGCTCTGGGCCCACCCAGCCCCATGAAGGAATTGAAAAGATGCCATGCGGCTTTATGAAATCATATATAAGATCTTTAAGGATGCTTTCTGCAGTGGAGGGGGAGTTTTTATTTTTCCATAAATCACTTCCAGCCTTCAGATAACAATTTTATAGTCTGTTAAGGTCCTAAGACAGAATTTACGATTCTAGGGAATGGCTCCTTCATCCTGATGTGGCCCTTTCTTCTGCCTTTCAAGCATCCCACCCACCCCTTTCTTGAAGGATCTGGGAAAGGGAATGGGAAGGGAGGGAGCTGAACCGATGACTTCTACCACTGAATGCAGACACCCTGTGCTTTATATCTTCAAAACACTCTAACATCCGTCATGTCATTTCACCAGCATGAATAGGCTGGAAATAGGCTGAGCAGGTCTTACTAGTCCCATTTTCCAGATGAGAAAACTAAGACCCGTAATAGAAGCAGGATCTAAACTACTTCTTCTGATTCCAAGTTTCTTTCCAACATGCTGTGATGCCCCCCTAATTACTGTATGGCCTCATGTCTATTCCTGCGCTTAGAAGTAACCCAGGTTTGAAGGGCTGAAATTGTCAAAATACAGCCCAAGAATTAAAGTAATTGTCTTAGTAATGATGGAGGAGAACTGCTGTCCTCCTTCCCAATCCCATAACCACCAATAGACTGTGGTGGTAAACCTGTTAGCCAAACATTTGCAGTCTGCTTTACTCCACCGTACATGACACTGCCAGAGTTATTTCCCCAAAGCACAAGTGTGACTGGGTCTCTTTATTGCTCAAAAGCCTTTGGTCTCCCTTTTGCTTAAAGGGAAAAATTACAGAGTTGGTAGGAAACTTGGAGACCATCTAATTTAATTCTCTGTACTGTGCAATAATGTGCTCTACCACAGTGATATCCCTCAGGCCTCTGCATGAATAACTCCAGTGATGGGGATCTCATTACTCTTTTTTATTCCATTCATTCCTTTATTCACTTAATTTCTTTTATCTGAACAACAGATATTTACTGGACAGCCATGATGTTAAGCCTGGGAACAAAATCCTGAATATCACATACTTAAACATAGTAGTTAAGAGAAAGTTCTAAAATCAGATTGCCTAAGTTCAAATTCCAACTCCATTATCTAGTCGCTGCAACACCCTGGGCAAGCACATACCCTTTCTGTGGCTCAATTTCCTCATATGGAAAATAGAACTAATAATACTTTGAAGCTGGCATATTACAAGCATTTATACATAGAAGCCAGTGATATACGCAAGTAAACAGACATCTACAATGCAATGAAGTAAGTGTACAGAATGCTGTGGGAGCCTCTAATCCATTTGGGGTGGTGGTCAGGGAAGGCTTCCTAGAGGCAGTGACCTCTAAGTGAGACATTATAGCCAAAGAGGAGTTGTCCAAGCAAAGAGAAAGAGAACTACTTTAGTATGAGGAAATGGAATTGCAGACACTATCCTGAAATAAAGAGAAAGTGTATACTGTTCAAAGAATTATAAGAGTTCAGCATAGCTGGAGTAGAGAGGGAAAGGAAGGGATATGACCTAGCCACTTCCTTTTCAGAGAGCTCCATTATGGAAAATCCTTTCTGTCTGAACTCCCAGCACGGTAGTTACAGGCTTCTGCAAGTTGGCCCTAATTTACTTTTGCAAATTTATCTCTCTATTTTGTACACTTTGCTTTTGCTGTTTCCCCACCAAGGAACGTTTCCTACAGTGGGCTCTTAGGATTTGTAGTTTCTCATACCATTTTTGGAGGTAGCAGAATCCCTCTTTTCTATAGGACACCCATTCCATGTGATTCAGGTGAGCTCACCATGATCTGAACCCACTTTCAGGCTATGTTGCACAAAGAATAACCCATTCTCTGACCATAGTAATGGGTTCAGGGATGGGCACATAACCCACACTGAGCCACCCAGAGTCCTCCCTTATCTTTTTCTGTTGGAACTAGCATTCCTTTGGTGTTGCTCAGCTGGGAAGACATGAGTTGGGACTGCCAGACTGTCTTTCCAGCCCCAGAAAGGAGTCATTCTGAGGAACAGTGCTAAGTAGGGAAAAGCAGAACCATAAGATGGCAAGAGAGACAGAGGCAAGATAATCTCACCTGAGCTCCTGGATGGAGGCCTGCCAAGAACAGCTGTATTATTCCTGGACTTCTCAGTTATGTAACCCAGTAAGTTCTCTCTCTTTTGTTTGTTTCTTAAGCTGCTTTGAGTTGGGTTTTTGTCACTTCAAAAAGGATTCTGACTCATTCACTTCTGGCCTGTTCATCACCAGTTTTAGCTTAGTGCAGTTACCAACTCTTCCATGACGATTGCAGCCAGAAGCAAAGGCCTCCGCCCGCCCACCACATTGTTTTTAATCGTGGACACTCAGGATTGCAGTAGCCAAATGGCATTTGTCACAATCTACCTTCCGGGTTAGAATTTGGTACATAAGTCTGGTCTAGCATCTGAAAGGGAAACTCTTTGTAAGAAGCACTGTATCCTCCATGGTGAGTATTACAATGTCCACTACAGAGCAATTGCCCAATAAATGTCTATAGAAAACAAGAAAAGGAATGTGAAGAAAGAGCACTGGACAGGAGGATTCAAACCCCAGTTCTAATGTTTCTTAATGAGCATCCTTGGAAAAGCCACTTATCTCCCCTAGACTCAGTTTCTATACTTCTTTACTTCATCTATAAAACAGGGATAATATTTGTTAAAGTCATTTTAGGCTGGAATAAGAGAATGAATGTTACATGCTTTGTAAAATGAAGAGAGACCTATTTAAATAAGTTAAAGCTTTAGTCCCTAGCACTGATCAAGGGGTAAGGAGTCCCGAATTTCTGGGTTAAAGACATCTCTGAGAGTAATGATCTATTCGGCAAGCTGGCGATCGTCCCTGGACATCATTTATAAAATGAGGACAGGGAGGAGAGCATTAGGTGAGTTAAGGAACAGTCTATGATTCTGTGACAATATCATTCCTAATAGCTTAGCACTTGGCCTATTAGTATCTCCCTCATGTCAGTGAAGGCAAGATGTTAGTCCAAGGGTCTGAAGACGAACAGGGTCCCCCTTTTGTCACCGCTTCTCATCAGTATAACCTTTTATTGAGGGCTTAAATTCAGCAGGCACCATGCTAGGTAATTACATTAATTATCTCACTTATTCTTAAAAACAACTCTATGAGGTATGCTCTATTATCCTCTTTCTGACCAGAGAGAAACTGAGGCACAGAAATGTTAAGTAACATGCCTAAACCACGCAGATAAAGAGGGGTAATGTCATCATTCAAACTTGGGTGACCTTCTCCCAAAGCCCATGCTCTTATCCATCAAACTGCACTGTCTCCCTGTGATTCCCACTATATGATCTGACAGCAGCTGGGAAAGGGAGATCTGTGTCTACTCCTGGTGGCTTGTGCAGTCCCAACCATGCTAACAGTCCAGGGTGCTGGGGGTCTGCGTTGAGTGAGAATGCCATGCTGCTAATGGAAGAAAATGTAATTATAGAGCATAATTACAGTGTATCATATTCTGTAATTACACTGATGGTATTTAATATAGAACATATTCTGAAGCTAAATGGAATGGAAACACCCCCTAAACAGAACAGAGTCAGAGCTGCTAAGAACCTATTCCCTCGACTATACAGAATTGCAGGACCTCTATAGAGTCATGTGTCTCTCGACAACAGGGATACCTTCTGAGAACTGCATCATTAGGCAATTTTGTCATTCTGTGAACATCATAGAGTGTACTTAATGCAACCCTAGATGGTATAGCTTACTACACACCTAGAGTATATGGTGTAGCATATTGCTTCTAAGCTACTAACCTGGACAGCATAGTACTGAATACTATAGGCAATTGTAATACAGTGGTAAGTATTTCAGTATCTAAACATATCTAAATATAGGAAAAGCACAGCAAAAATATGACATTATAACCTTATGGAACCACTGTCACACATGTGTTCTGTCACTGATGAAACACTCTAATGTGATGTATGACTGTTATTGCATTCCCCATCTTGATGAAAAGTGTCATCATCCACTCAATGGCCCAGTCCCCAAACTAGGGCTACAGTACTTTCCTCTCACATCCTCACCTAACTCATCCTGCAGAAGCAGCTCAGGTACCATCATCCTCTAAAAGACTTTTCTGACTCCAAAACTGATGTTAGTTACCACTGATATGTGCTCTTTCAGCATCTTCCAGCATAGGACTCACCCCACTGTGCTGTAATTGCCTGTTTTATTCTGTGTGTCTCCATGTAGACTGAAGCAACTCGAATGCAAAGAATGTATTTTGTTTAGTGTTTATTTCTCCATTCCCAATGCCTAGAATAATGCCTGACATACAGTAAGTGTTTCATGTTTCTTGAATGAATGAATGAATCAATGGGAAACATATTCAAAGAACCATATGTAAGCAATAATGTTTTTTTTTCTATGACTAGGTATGAGGGAAAACATAGCATTATAGAAGGACATATTGAGAAGCTTTTAGACCTTCCTTTAATTTTAAAGATGAGAAAAAAAGTCGGGGGTGAGCAGAGAAGTGAAGAAACTTGCACAAGGTCACACAGCAAGTAGAAAGCAAAAAAATTAAAAAAAAATAAAAAGAAAGAAAAGGTCTTTTAATTCTAAGCTTACTTGCTATTCCATGATATGGTAAAATCTTAGCTATTTACAGCCAAAGATCTCGGTTAAGGAAACGAAGTGTCTGAAAAAATAAAAATTTTAATAATAGAAAATATTTGGGTAACAACAAATGTGTCACAAGGTTGCGTGGGCTGTAATACTTGGTATTATGGACTGAATAGTGTCTTCTCCCAAATTTAACTGTTGAAGCCTTAACCCCTATGTGATGGTGTCTGGTGATGGGGCCTTTGGGAGGTAATTAAGATTAGCTGAGGTCAGGAAGGTTGGGCCTTCATAATAGGATTAGTGGCCTTATAGGAAGAGGAAGATCTGTCCCCCTCTCTCTCTCTCTGAATGCATGCACCATGTGAGAACATAGCAAGAAGGTGGCCACCTGCAAGCCAGAAGAAGAGTCCTCACCAGAACCAGAACATGCTGTCACGCTGATCTCACACTTCCCGCCTCCAGAACTGTGAGAAATAAATTTGGCTTTAAGCCACCCAGACTATGATATTTGGTTATAGCAGCTTGTGCAGACTAAGACACTTGGCATCACAACTTTTACGATTTACTGAAGGTTTTAATAAAAGGAAAGAATTCCATTTCCACTTAGGTGTAGGTTCCACTGGGCTCTTTCAAAGTCCCTGGCTGCCCTTGGGGATACATGCATATCCTAGAAAGGAGACAAAAATGGATTAAGTGGACACAGAAATCACACCTCACTTCAGCCAAAAATATGTATGCATTCAGAAGTTTATTTATTTCGAATACCAAATACCCACTTGTACTTAGAGACCAAAAGCTTTGAGAACTATATTTACATAGCATGGAATTTCTCTTCCTCCCTACCCATTCATTTGTTTGTTCATTCAACTATTATAGAGTGTCAACCGTGTGTCAGGCACTAGGATCACAGCACTGAACATAGCAGCATCTCTGCCCTCAGTGAGTCTCCATTGCAGGGGCCCTGCTGCCTGCTGAAAAAGCACCTGCCTCAGCAGCCAGACTGTCTGGGTTCTAATCTCAGCTCTGCCACCAACTGAATGTTGCATTTGAGCAAGTCGCTCTGCTTCAATTTCTTAATCCATTAAATAGAGTTATAATTAGACCTCTCCTCATAGTGTTACTGTGAGGACTGTCAGGGTCAACACGAGTGATGTGCTTAGAACCATTTGTGACACGTGGTAAGTGTCAATAAGCAATACCTTCTATTACCTTCTGTTTTTTGCCCATATCCCCTCAGAGAAAGGTAGAACGCTAAAGTAACAAAGAGGATGCAATCCCATCCTCTTGTTTTACAGATAAGGAAATGCATCTTAGAGAAGACAAGCAGTGTGTCCCAGCTCACATAGCATACTCATGTCAGAGCCTCAATTGTACTCTGATCCAAGGCCATCTCCATGTGGATCACCCAAGAGCCTCTGGCCTGGCAGTGCTAGTCACACAGACCAGGGTTCAAGCTCTGAACCTATCCCTTCCCAGCTGCATGACCCCAAAGAAAGTTATTTAATACCTTTGAACCTACGTTTTTCCATTTGGAGACTGGGTATAATAATGCTAATGATGATGGTGATAGCAAGAGTATTAATAATAGTTATGATTCTTCTCTTATAGTTGGAAGGCTCCCATGAGATATGGGATGTGATAAAGGTGTGGTAATTGTAAAAGGCCATGCTGTCCAATACAGTAGCCATTAACTACAGGCAGCTATGAGCACTTGAAATGTGGCTAGTGCAACCAAAAAAATGAATCTTAATTTTATTTCATTTTAGTCAAGTTAAATGTAAGTTTTAAAACTAATACTCAAGTTGGTTATTGGAAAACTTCCAAGTATTTACAATTTGGGTGTATGAATCTACTTTTTTTTCTGTCTCTATTTTATAAAATCTTAATATAGGTGGCCACCTTCTTGCTGTGTTCTCACATGGTGCATGCATTCAGAGAGAGAGACAGAGGGACAGATCTTCCTCTGCTTATAAGGCCACTAATCCTATTATGAAGACCCTACCTTCATGACCTCAAGAGTTTCTGTGGAAGATGTAGCATGCAAATTGAAACATCAGACTGTAAAATACAGGATCTCAAAGACTTAGTATTAAAAAAAGAATGTAAGGTATCTCACTAATCATTTTTATCCTGGTTACATGTCAAAATTAGAGTCATTTGAAGATATTGAGTTAAATAAAATGCAGTTTTGAAATGAATGTCACCCTTTCTTTTTCACTTTTTTAATGTGGCTACTAGCAAATTTTAAAATTCCTATTGACTTGACAAATGTATTGGAAAGCACTTAGTAAAGGGCTGTACACATGGGAGGGCATCCTCCCGTCTCTTCTTGCCTTATGGCTGTTCTCACAGATACTGGTTGGGAGAGTGGACCACTTAGGAGTCTTTGGTCACAACCAATAAAAACCAGCTGTGGTTATCTTAACCAAGTGAAGAAGGACATGAGAATACTCACAGGCTCTAAGGAAGGGTTGATGCATCAGACCTGGGAAAGAACCAGGGGCGGGATCTTGGGAGGAGGGTGCAAAGGTGGCCCCTGCCTCTTGGATGCCTGGTCTGTTATGCTTTTCTGTCATCATGTCACAACACCCCAAATGCCAAGGGAAGAGAATCTGGTTGCCTAGTTTGGCTCACTAGCTGGCCCCACGGCCGGGAGTGGTTGGAGGATGGGAGGGCATGTTGATTGACAGACCCAGCAAGAGGCAATATCCAGTGCAGAAAGGCTAACTCTTCCTCCTCCTGTTGTCCCTCCAGCCCTAAGGAAAGTAGCAGCTACCTGCTTTTGCCAGTCTATAGGTTGCCTCTCCATCCCATTTGGCTTCTCAGCTTTTCCACTTCCTATGTAACCATGAATCAATTGAAGTGCTGCTGCTAGGTGGAAAAAATAGGTCCTGGGAAGGCAAGAGCCACAGATGCCACTTAGTGCAGTGGCCTAGGCACAGGAAAATGCTTAGATGTTAAATGAGGAAAGTAGCAAGCAATGGGTGAGTTCTGCTCTGACACTGACACACTGCACCCTTGAGGGAACTGTCCTGCCACTTTAAGCCCCTATTTCCTCAACTATAAAATGAGAGAAGAGTGAAAGTGCTGGGTTCTCTCACACAATGAAACTATCACAATCCCTTCAACTCTTGCTCTTACACTTCTCAGGGCTGGACCCCACCTAGAAACACTAGGTGATCCCTTCACTCTATTGGAAGGGAAGACTCAGTTCTGGCTGACTGAGCTCAGCTGCAGTGAGCCTCCCAGCCCAATACCCTGCCCCACCAAGGCACTGTGCAATTCCGCAACTCTCTCCTGTGCCTGAGACCCTCTGCCCCTTCCCTATTCTCTCACCCTCTCTTATAGCTTTGCTGCAAAATAGAAAGTCCAAGAGTTGCCATGTTCAAAGAAAGCCCTTTAGTCTAATTTATCAGGAATTGCTAATTCAGCTAAACTAAATATTTTTTCTCTTAAGCAAGAGAATTTAATTCCCTGCATGATCTCTCTTGTTAAAATAGGAGAAAAAGCCTTATAATTCTATAAAATCCATTATGTCAGCCTCGATCACACTCCTTGGTCAATGACTTTCTCCTCTGCTTGCAAAAGTGCCTCCTCAGTACACAGACCAGTGGCAGGAAGGACCCAGGAGAACTGGCTTTGAGAATCAGTTATACATATATGTATGTATGCATTCATTCATTTATTCAGCATTCAGCAAAGTGTAGGGAGACAGAGATGATTAAGACCTAGTTTTTGTCATTAAAGGGTTCCCAGTCTGCTACAGGAGATTGATAAGTGAGCAAATAACCACCTACCAATACAGGAAAAAACTGAGAGGCAACAAAAAATTGTTATGGGGGTTGGAGGAGGAATCAACAAACTCAACCTGGGGAGGTTCTTTGGGGAGGAGTTTATTCTAGGCAGAGGAAAGAGCAAATGCAAAGTCATGATGGGTGTTATTTGTTTGGAGAGTAGAAAAAAGTTTAGCTGAACATAAGTTGCAAGAGGGATATTAAGTGAGGAGGCTAAGATAAGTCATTTCATCTTTCTGAGCCTGTTCCACCATCTATCAAAAAGGGACAATTGCCCCCAGTCTTTTTACCTCTAGGGATGGTGGAAAAACTGAAATGTCATTCTTTGTGATCATTCTTTGAAAATTGCAGTATATTATGGAGATAGATGTTAGGGTGAATTCTTAAGAGCCAGCACATCAGCCCTGGGGCCTCCAGCACCCTCCTGGCCCCATGTAAATTAGAGGAGCCTATCGGATCAGCCTTGCAGAAAGCTTCCTTTGGCAGAAGGGCAGTGTGTATTTATCTTTACCAGCTCAGCTTCCAGCCCCATGTTTATGAAAACTCAGAGGCCCCTGGGTCTTAGCATCTCCTCCAACCTCCCCATGAGTTCCTTGTACTTGGAGTAAGATACATCTAGGGTCAAATCCTAGTTCTGCAACTTAAGAAGTATGAAACCATAAGACTCTCTAAGCCTCTCTTACCTTCCATTTCCTTGTCTATACAATAGGACTAATGGTGTTTATCTCACAATATTTGAAATGATTAAATAAAATATTTTATGGGAAAGTTCCTGGTAAACTGTAAGGAGATATGAAAATATAAGCTATGACCATCATCCATCACCATTGTTTTCCTATTACCTCTTAATGAGAATCTCTCCTAATGAATAAACCACTCTCATTTCAATGTGAAGTATACTTTACTGGAAGTCAAGAAACCTGAACTCTATTCCCAACTCTTCCCTTACACTGTCAGGCTCCTCTCACATCTCTCTCTGCTCCTTTCTGTATGTCAGGAACTACACTTCCTGACCTACTGGCTCCTTTGCCTACCAGCTTCCCCGTAGGTGTAGCCATTCAAACGCCCAATTTGAGGACTGGACAGTGGGAGAAAGGGAGAAGCCAGGGTGTTTTTCTTCTCTTGCTGTCCCTCAGGTGCTGTCTTGTATCCACTGTGTCTCAGGTGCTTCTGTATTCGTAGCCACTGTGTATGCACCACAGCTCCAGATCTTGCTGGGTTCCCAGAATTCTAAAGTTTCCAAGGTCCTAAGATTCTAGCTCCTATTAGATGGGCCTGGCTTCTGGCCTGTGATAATGACACCTCCTCCTATTGGCCCTCCAGCCCTAAGGAAAGTAGCAGCTACCTACTTTTGCCAATCTGTAGGTTGCCTCTCCATCCCATTTGGCTTCTCAGTTTTACCATTTCCTATGTAATCATTTCCTGTATAGAAAGACATTCCTGGAGTGGTTTTACTCTCAGGACCCTAATTGACACTCTGAGAGTTATTTCATTAGTCAAAGGAACACAGTGGATTATATCTAAGACATCTTCCACTTTTTATAGTCAACAATTTTGTTGTTGTTGTTGTTAAAAGAATTTCACAGAAAAGAATTTCACAGCTGTCCCATCTACCTTTCTTGCTAGGTTCTTTCCCTCTTAGCCACAGCCATCTTGCTGGCTCCAGTAATATTCTCTAAATCAGAATTCACAACCCACCTCACCATCAATACTCAAAATTTGGCTATATAACACCAAAGATCTCCCAACCCAGACCCAAGTCATGGGTAAAAGATTTAACTGTATGATTCCCTTTGTTCTCCCTTGGCCCATCAGGTCTTTCTCTCATCCTTCTGGAGGTAAATATTGTGCATGTATTTTGCATGAGTGTATATGTAGAAACCACCTAACTCAGAGCAACGGTTCACAGACAATGCTCACTACAAGCTTACTGAATAAATACTTGCCACATCACACATCTGCTTGTCTCTACATTTTTTAGCGCCTTGCCTTGTACTCTTTTATAACCTATTGTCAGACAAACTGAGTCCAAATCCTGACTCTGTGTGACCTTGGGTACCTTTACTTAACACTTCTGAGATGTTTCCTAGTTTGCATGATCCAGGCTTTGGAACCCACCTGGTAGGGTTATTGTTGGGACAGAGAGAGCAGATGGTCATTTTCTTCCCTCTACCTTGGACTTTGACCTTCTGCAAGCTTGTATCTCACCTCACCTTCCACTCCCCTTCTGTTTCCATGGTCCAAATCTAACTGCTCTCCTCTGCAGTGATTTGGAACAATAAACGCAGCTCCCTGGTATGCCAAGTGCTTTCCTAGTGGCTCCCTGCACCAGGCCTCATTTCCATTGTATTTACCCTAATGCATGAAAGAAAACCAGAAGCCTTTCTCTTTCAAGGGCTACAAACTGAGATGCCAAGATGTTAACTCTTATTTCCAGATCACACAACCCCCAGGCCACCTCTAACATATCCACAGCTGTCATTCAGATTCCAAAGACATTGACTTATTTCTCATCACAATTTGCAAGCAAAGCCGTAATGCTCTAATTATGTGTCTATTATCACCATCATCGTAATGCACCCACATGGATGGTGGCAGCAAGGCTGGGTTAATATATTCATTAGGGACAGGCACGAGCAACATGATATTAATACTGCTAATAATACCTAATTGGGCTTAATTACAATGTGATGCCTAATATATTGTGATGAATTTATTCTCAAAGTATTTACATATTTGTAGTTAAGTAATTAGCATTCTGTCCATAAATAACTCCTCAAAAGTCCACTCCAGCTCTGGAGCAGAAGGGAGACTGAACACACCCTGCTCCTTAAAATGGACTGGCAGAAAAAAAAGTTCTTAATTTGTGTAGAAATATATATGTCACATCTTCTTTAGAGGAAAAGTGAAGGGGTCCCATGGGAAAGACATTTCGGGGAAGGTAGCAGGAGGAGAGAGATGTGTTCCTCTCAATTTCAGGAGTCTGATGGAGAGTAAGAGCTTTCATGCTGGGGGTTTTGCTGGGCTTGTCAGACCACACAGAGAGTTCTGTGATCTGTCCCAGATGACATACTTGAAGAGGGACATTCACAAACGAGGGGAGGGCAACCTGGTGGAGAGAGGACTCAGAGGTGCAGCTTGAGAGTCCTCAGCATGCTTAACTTGCAGAAGAGAAGTCGCAGAGATAAGAGAGCGGTCTTCTCAGATTTGAAGGGCTGTCATGAGGCCGCAGCAACAGATTGTGAAGTGGGCAGTAGTATAGGTTTTGAAGTCAAGGAGACATGTTTGAATCCCAGCTCAGCCACTTACTAGGCACATGACCTTGTACGAGATGCACAATGTCTCTAGACCCCTGTTTTCTCTTTGGGTGCTATTAAGTAGACGTCAAAAAAAAAAAAGGATATGATGTCTGAGTTCTGGGATTCCAGAATCCTCAGCCTACTTGCCTCATGGAACAAGGGTTAAATAACCTTGGCACTAGAACCAGAACGCATTTCATACCTATTCCCACCGTTTGAAATCTGGTGATGTTGGGCAAGTTACTGAATCTCTGTGGACCTCAGATTTACAACCTGAGAGTTAATATAATATCACGCCTAACTTACAGGGTTGTCACGAGAATTGAATGAAGAAATAATTCATGGTACGTGCTTGGAGTACTTGGCACATAGTAAGCACTCCATGTTATCTAGTATTAGTATTGCTGTGGACACTTCTTTTATTTAACATCCAGCTGCGGGCAAAATATACTCCCTAGCTAGTTGAGACAAAAATGGAATTTATTACACTGATTAAATGGCCATGAGGGTTTTGAGTGCTGAGGACAAGTTCAAGGTTTGGTTGTTCAGGAATAAACTCCCAAAGCCACATCACAGGCCCCAAGAGAGCTGCTGTCTCGTCTACCATCCAGAAGCCACCAGCTGTAATCCACCTTCATGGTCACGGTCAGGAAGCTATGTGATGAGGAAGCTGCCACTATCAGGAGGCAAATTTTTTTTTTTTTTTTTTTTGAGACAGAGTCACGTTCTGTCGCCCAGGCTGGAGTGCAGTGGCACCAGGAGGCAACTATTATTACTGCCAGCTGCTTGGCCACATTGTACCTATCACAACCCACACCAGCTGACTTGCTGCCTGACAACCACCATCTCAACACCCATGATGCTGTTTGGTGGACAGTGGAGCCTCTGCTAATGCTACTGCAAAAAAAAAGAAAAAAATCAAGCCTCTGCAACTATGGTTTCCAGCAGAAGCAGCAGAAGCAAGGCTTCTCTCACTTCTTCTAAATCTAACAGGAGCAAATCTGATTGGCCAAACTCCAAAGACAGCTAGAACCCCAATTGCAAGAGACTCTGAGATAGGTAAGTTTTATCTTTTGAGATGCTGCAGCACAGAAAAGCACACTAGAAGGAAGGTAGAATGGCCGTTGAGTTCCAATCCCCCTTCTCCATCATACCACCTCTTCCCTGTTCCGAGGCAAATAACCTTCTAGGAAAATGTGATGTGCACTACTAGTCAGGTCTTCAGCCCCAGAGCCCTATCTGGTTGTCCATATAAAGCCTGAGAAACCTCTTTTGCTCCTTCAGCTTAAAAGCCAGACAGGAATTTGAGCAATAAACTGCTCCTTTGGCCATTCCCTTGACTACATCCCAGTCTTAGACCTCCAGATCTCATCATTTCCACAGCAAGAAGAGCCTTGCCAAGTCCAATATCAAAAAAGAGAGTGCCTCTCCCTCTGGCATAGAGCTGATCACCTAAGCTGGATGGCATTTCCTCCTTCTGCAATCCTGTCTGTGCTCCAAGAGAGGGGAAGAGGTGGAGGGAAGTTCCAACTGGAGGTAGACTTAGGCTTTTCTCCCAGCCCCAGCTCTGTGCTGGTTATCCTCCACTTGCCAACCGCACCGTCTGCCATTTCTGCCATGAGGCCGACCTCCAAGCAGAGCAGCACCAGGGTTCCCTATCCTTCAGCTCCCAGATGGATCAGTCAATGCCACTGGCAGAAGATCCAAGGCAAGAGGAGAAAGAAGTGGGTGTTTCTGCCCCACTTACTCCAGATTTCAGCACTGAATTTCTGGCAGTGTCTGCATCCTTCTATGGCTACAGCTCCTGCCAGGTGACCTTCTTCGTGGGCTCCAGTAACACCACCATCTTCTCTTTTGCTGCAAGGCACAGGGGAAATAATGGCTTTCAACTGTTGCTAACCCCTGAGTGCATCGGCATGGCTTTTTGGCTTGTTTAACCTTGCCCACAGCTCTATTCAATTCAATTATTAAATAATCTCTTTAGTTAAACACTATTTCCTGCAAGGCTCCTAATAAATACCAGCCCCAAGGAAAGGATCTAAGAGAGAGCATTTCTCCTTTTCTCAAGGCTTGTTTCATTTATTCCCCATTTAGTCCTCCCACTAAACTCTCTAGTCTCTCCTAAAGGAGTTCTGCCATGTCCTTGGACCAGAAGAGGTCTTCTGTCTCAGCAGAGAGGTGAAGGGGGAGGGAGAGGCCTTAGTTCCAAGCTGATGGCCAGTTTGCTCAACATCCAGGAAGAGCTACCATTTTCGTTCAAGTCCAAAAGCAGAAAAAAGGCAATGTTCCAGCTGGAAGGCAGTCAGGAAGGAAGAGTTTCCTCTTATTCAGTCTTTTTATTCTATTTGGGCCTTCAACTGAGTGGATGAGGCCCACCCACAGTAAGGAGGGCAATCTGCCTTCTCAGTCTACCGATTTCAAATGTTAATCTCTTCCAAAAACACCATCATAAACACACCCATAAACACAACCAGTTATCTGGGCATCCCATGACCCAGTCAAACTGACACATAAAATGAACCATTTTGCACCACCTATTGTGGGGATTCTCTCGGTTTTATCTGCACCCACCTTTCTAGATGGCTCCCACATAGTGCAATCCTCCAGGAGAACATGGTCCAAACACACTCCTTACCGTTAATTATACTCTCTCTGTTTAAATATCTTTCGAGGAAAACCTAGAGTAGTTTTTGTTTCTATGGGACTTGTTTCAGTGAACCCTAGGCGATACAGGGAGCAAGACTGGAGACAAGGAGACCAGTTAAGAGCTGTGACAATTGTTTTGGGATGAAGGAATGGGGGCTCAAAACTAAAATAATAGCTGTGAAGATGAAAGACAGAGAGTGAGGAGGGATCAAGAAGCATTTAAAAAATAAAATAATAGGGCTTGGGGACCAGTCAAACATTAAGCATGAGGGAGAAGGAGGCATCTATGATGAGTTCTAAGCCTCTGTTTTGAGGAGCACTGAAAGGATGATGTCATTTGGTGAGGTGGTGTGGGTGGGTGGGTGAACACAGTTTGGAAGGCAATGTGTGGAGGCAATCCTATGTTTTCCATAGGATACTAGTAGATAGCTAAGCATTAAGCATATGGCTCCGTAATGGACATTTGTCATTTTATATCCCAGAATCCCTTCCTACAGCCCCTCTGTTTTCAGATATTGTTTGAAATAAGTGATCTAAATGGAAGCTGATATCTTTGTCTGAGGTTCTGCCTAGATTAATTCATGAAGAGATAGACCCTTGAAACAAGACAAGCCCCCCTGCATTCTTCACCAGGATTTTCTAACCAGGTCCAGAGAGCCTCTTTCATTCTTTTTTATAAAAGTTGTGAGCCTAAAGATTTTCTGGACTGCCAGAAAGTCCTGAAGCCAGACTGAGAGAATGGAGCCAACATGAAAGACAAGCCATGTCCTGACAGTGCTCACATCCCTAATTCTAGCTGTCACAGGGTCCAGCTGTTTCCCTGCCCGTTCCTAGGCTAGCTTTGTGTGCCAGTGCCTTCTCTTAGTATTTGCCTAAGCTAGCCCATGTTGGCATTCTGCCGTAGAGTTTTATGGGGTCTGAATTTCAGAAGAGCATCAGTGTTAGATGCAGATCTGAGAGACGTCAGCAGAGAAACAGTAACTAGAGCCTTTAGGGCAAAGAACTTGCCAAGGACAAATATAGGATGAAATACAGGACAAGCATAGGATGAAAAGAGAAGGAGCCAGGGACAGAATCAGAATAATCCTTAGTATTTTAAGGATAAGCAGAAAAGAAAACTACTATGGAGAGTGAGAAGGAGTTTTAAAAAGTGAAAGAAGAATCAACAGAGTATCATCATTGAAATAAAGGAAAGAAAACCTTCTCAAAGGCCTGGTCAACACAGTCAAACATGGCAGAGTTCAACACTGAAAAGAATCCATTAGATTTAATCAAGCAGATTGGCAGGGGAGAAGCCTTCTGGCCCCAACCCTGAGGATGAGTGGGAGGCGAGAAATAAGAGACACAAAGTGCGGGGTACAGAAGAATAGTCTGGGTGGTGGAAGGTAGGGTTAGGACAGATCTTTAAAACAATGATTGTCTGTGTGCTGAAGGAATGGAAGAAGGGGAGAGCCCTTACAGGGAGTGGAAAGGGTCCAAAGTACAGGAGTGGAACTTAAAGTTTGCAAGGCACTTTGCCACATCTTTGCTTTTTCCCTTAATACCCTTGGGAGTTTGCTCCTGGAGAGATTATTATTATTCCATTTTGCAGTGATAAAACTGAGGCCTAGAAAAGTTAAGTGGCATACCTAGGGCCCCATGGTAAAATGGTGGGCCTTGGACTCAGACAGTTTCTTGATCTCATGCCCAGGGCTCTGTCTACCATACCACATGCTTCTTACTGCTCAGGGTAGTGTTGGCCTCCACCCTGGATTTAGACAGGGGACTTCAGGAAACAGGAAGAAAGAGAGTTAACCCATATTGAGGACACCTGCCATGAATTTGACACTATGCTGAAGACTGAGAGTCATTCAGCAGATATTTATTAAGTACCTACTACATACCAGGTGTAGGAACCAGGTATTGGCTCATGCAATTTTGGAGCTTGACAAATTCCAGGATCTGCAGTCAACAAGCTGGAGATCCAGGGGAGCCAATGGCGTGGTTCTAGGCTGATGGCCAGTTTGTTCACAATCCAGAAAGGGCTACTGTTTCAATTCAAGTCCAAAGGCAGGAAAAAAGGCAGGAAACCAAAGAAATGAACCCCTGCCCTTGTGGAGATTACATTCTACCAGAGAGAGACAGAGAAACAGACACCTTCTTGTATTCCTGCAGTGAGCACACTTGTATTGAATGCATATTATCTTCCAGACTCTATTTAGGGCCTAAAGATCTGACAGTGAACATAATTCAAAATAAAATTAAAAAATAAATGAGTAAAATCTATACTCTATTACATGGTGATAAGTGCTATGGAAAAAAATTAAGTCAGGGAGGAATCAGGACTGCTGGAGTGGGAGGATTGCAATTTTTAAAAGGGTTGCTAGGAAAGGCCTCACTGCAAAGAAAAGGTTTGAGCAAGACATTGAAAGAGGTGAGGGCATATTCACCTTTTGGATATTTCTGGGAAGAGGAACAGCAAGTGCAAAGGCTCTGAATTGAGCACGTGCCAGGAGCGGTCAAGAAGCTAGAGGGAGACCAGTGTACATGGAGTGTGGTGGAGTAGGGTGGAGTAGAGTGCAGTGAGGAAGGTACTGTGGATTGGAGGCAGGCAGGGGTGTGGTTAGGGTTATGCAAGTAAGGTGGTGTGGGGTAGAGAAGATCTGAATGAGATGAGAAGAGATGCAGTAGAGTGAGGAGGGGAAAGGTGGGGTACCTAAGACCAAGGTAGTGGGGTCTGTCAGAGTTGGATAGAACCTTAAGGCCCTCTAGACATACTAAGGACTTTTATTTTTTCTCCGAATGAGATAGGAAGGCCTTGACAGTGTTGATCTTAAGAGTTTTATGATATGGCTTTATTTGAACAGCACCACCAAGGCTGTTTACTGAGAAGACTGTAGGGAGAAAGAGTGGAGTCGAGGGGAACAGTTAGGAGATTATGGACTTAATTCAGGTGAGAGGTGCTGAAAGCTTAGTTCAGGGTGGCAGCAGTGCAGCTGGTTAAAAGTGATTCGACTGTTCATATATTTTGAAAACAGAGCCAGCAGTATCTGCTGGATTTTGGGTGTGAAAAGAAAAGGAGAGCCAAGGATAGTTCCAAGATTCTGGTCCAAGCAACTGGAAAGATGCAGTTGCCACTGAATAAGATTGGGAGGTCTTCGGTGCCAGGAATTTGGGGATCCAGTGTTTGACTTGGTAAATATTAAGTCCGAGGTGCTTTATCTTAAAATGTTAGATAGGGAGTTGGTCATGTAAATCTAGAGTTCAGGGGAGAGGCCTGAAATAAAGATAAAAATGTAAGGGTCATCAACTCAGCCAGCGTGAAGAGGTTTACACCAGCCAAAGATGGGACAATTCATTCAATAAGAATATTAACTGCAATGGGTAGACATACACATAATACATTTGCAAATCCATGCCTTCATAATGAAACTGAAAAATATATCATTGGTCCCTTTGAGGATGCTAAAGAATAAACTCATTATTCAAAAACTGGGAAGTAAGACAAAATAATTAAGCATTTAAGCTGCCTTTCCTTTTTGAATTGCACTTCCAGGTAATCAAATAGTTGATGAGGGAAGTATTCTGATAAATTAAGAAAGAATAATAGAGTTAGATGATCACCATTTTGTTAACCCCTGATGAAATATTGATGCTAGGCAGTAATCATCAATGGCATCACAAAGCCACTAACTGGACATAGTGTGTTTCCCATCAGACACCAGCTATAAAGTACTTTTGCCAAAATACAAAAACTGGCTCCAATCAAGCCTCCAGATCTGCTCACTAATTTACAGGAAATACAGGAGACAGAGGAACATGTTTAAAGACACTAGGTGGATACAGTCAACAAAATCCAGAATGTGACAAACTCCTAACACAAACAACCCTGTTTCTTCAACAAATAAATTGCAATAAAATAAAACAAAGGTATCCATACATTTAGAGACCAAAGAGCTATATGTCAACTGAATGTTATATATAAACATCATTTGGATCCCAATTCAAACCATACCACTGACTAGATATTTGATAACATTGAGAAGCTATTGCCATTTTATTAGGTGTGATAATGGTATGTGATTATGTTTAATAAAAAAATCCTTATCTTTAAAAAATATATTAAAATATTTATAGTTCAAACAGTGTTATGTTTAGGATTTGCTTCTAAATACTCTATTGGAAAGAGAGGAAAGTTGATGAGAGTAGAGTGCTAGAGCATGTACATTTATAATACCATCCTTTATACTTCTGTACATGTTTGAAATTATCCATAATTTTTTAAGGTCTAGTTAAGTAGTTATTAGATAATAAATAACACAAAAAGAATATACACAAGAAATTCAAGAACAGGCAAAACTCATTGTAAAGGAGTCCCCTATGGGAGGGGTGCTGCTGACTACAAAGGGGCACAAGGGAACTTTCTGGAGTAACAGAAACGTTCAATCTTGATCTGGGTGATGGTTACATATGTTTTGTAATCGTGTAGTATAAGACCCATAAAATTATAATGTTTGCACAGTTTACTATATGTGAAATTAGACTATATGTAAAAGTATATAGTACACAATTACTATGTGCAAGGGCAGAAGGGAGGCCAGGCACACATTTATAATTCCAGCACTTTGGGGGGCCAAGGAAGGAGGATCACTTGAGGACAGGAGTTCAAGACTAACATAACAAGACTCTGTCTCTAAAAAAAATTGTTTGTAATTTTAAATGGTACGTGGTGGGGTTGGGAGAGTCACCAGGACATAAAGGGCAACAAAAGTTATAAGACTGGATGAGAACATCAAGAGAGCAGGCGGGGACAGAAAAGAGGATGGAGTATTATGTTCGAGAGCACTTCAACCTGCAGGAGTCCAGGAATTGAGGAGAAACTAGCAAAGGAGACAGAGCAGGACAGTCAGTGCAGTGGGAGGACGATCACAGTGAGATGTGCTGGAAGGCAACAGAGGAAGGCCTTTCCCTGTGTCAGAGGCTGCTGGTGGACTGTCAGATGAAGACTGAGAAGTGCTCTTGAGTACACCCTTTTGGGAACTCTCAGTACAGTAAGGGAGGCAGCCAAGAAAGGGCTTCCTGTGGAGGAAGTTTATAGATAGAGAGAGAGAAAGCAGAGAGACTGCATGGAGTAGTGGAAAGGGCCTGACCATGCTGGATGGTCCAATTTGGTGTCTTCACTTAATGAAACTATAGTCAGGGGCAAGGAACCCCACTCCCTGAGCACCGCTTGCTTTCAGTGTAAAGCAAATATAGTAATGATGACTGTCTTGGTCTATTCATGCTGCTATAACAAAACAGTGTAGATTATAAACCACAGAAATTTATTTTGCAAAGTTCTGGAGGCTGGAAAGTCCAAGATCAAGGTGCTTGCAAATTTGGTATCTGGTGAGCATCTACTTTCTTGTTCATAGGCCCCACAGGGCATCCCCCAGGTCTTGTCAATGTCACATCACATGGCAGAAAAGAGTGAGGGTCTCTCTGTGGCCTCTTATATAAGGGCACTAATCCCATTCAAGAGGGATCCACCTTCCTGATCTAATCACCTCCTAAAGGCCCCATCTCCTAATACTATCACTTCAGGGTTAGAATTTGCAGGGGGCACAAAGCCAGTGCAAATTCAACATATGAATTTGGGTGAGACACAAAGCCAGGGCACATCCAGCAATGTCCAACTTGTAGCTGGTTGTGAAGGCAAAATAAGGTAACTTATGTGAAAAGTCTAGCATAGTGCAGGGCACTGGTATAGTTACTCAATAAGCTGTCTTGACAGAGAGTGCAAACTGTGGGCCTGAGTGGAGGACTTCAATCAGAGAAGAAGTGGCATTTGATTGGGTCTGGAGGATGGGTTGCATTCAGAACTAGGAGGACTAGAGGGAAAAATTGAAATACATAATGTAAGAGATCATATCAGGTTAAAAAAGGAGGACAAGAAGAAGAACTGGAAAGGCTGATTTTTAGGAACTCTGTGGCGCCAGAAGTGCCCTGGGGCAGTGTAAAGTCAGGAGGCTCTGGGAAACCCTCTTCTCCAGAGGAGTTTGAAGAAGACTGCCAGCTACACTCAGGCTGCAGCTGTGACCTTGCTGGGCCCTGAGAGTGACAAGAACGGAGCCCATAATGATTAACCTTGCCACTTGTTTCTGTAGTTTATTGTGACAAGACAATGCAATAAGGAGGGAGGTAATCAAAAAGCAATTTTGTAGCAGAAAGCTTAAAGTGACAAACCTTGCTTTTCCTAAATAAATCACTATTATTCCCATATGGCTCAGGACTGACAACTTGGGTTTCCTTAGTAACCAAGTACTTAGCTAAACCTGTGGCTCAGTGTGAGCGAGAGCAAGCCGCATCTGGAGAGAAGAACTAGTTGCCAAGTCTTTCCCAGAGGCCCCCTCACACCTCACAGGTGAACGCAGATGCCATTAGCATTCCCGGCTTTAACATTCTCCGTTTTCACTATTCTCTGGGGATCCCTGAGGTCTATGACACATAGTAATTTGTCATTTTGCAGAATCATTAATTTGGCTTTTGAAAACCATTTGCTTTGCTAGTGACTGGATTTGGGAACTCCAACATCCAGATCTCAGCATGGCTTTTGAGGTTTACAAGGTAATGCTCATGATGTGATTCCTAAAAATGTACCAAAAATGGCTTCTCTGTGAATCATGCTCCTAAAAAAAGAAATCCAAGAGCTAATGCCAGTGATGGAAGGGAAGAAAAAGCAATGAAGACTAGGAAAGCAAAGGCACTTAAAAAGAAAAAGTTCCTATAATCCCAGCACTCTGGGAGGCCGAGGCAGATGGATCACTATGTCAAGAGATTGAGACCATCCTGGCCAACATGGTGAAACCCCATCTCTATGAAAAATACAAAAATTAGCCGGGCGTGGTGGTGGGCGCCTGTAGTCCCAGCTACTTGGGAGGCTGAGGCAGGAGAATCGCTTGAACCCGGGAGGTGGAGGTTGCAGTGAGCCGAGATCACGCCACTGCACTCCAGCCTGGGCAATAGAGCGAGACTCCATCTGGAAAAAAAAAAAAAAAAAAAAGGGAGAAGAAGAAGAAAAAGAAAAAGTTTTGTGACAAAAATATATATTTTACACAGATATTTACAAATATCTAGATTTACGAAGGTTTTTTAATATATCCTTTGCAAGTATTAAGTATCTATGCTGTTGTTTAACAGTTAGCTCCCTTCTTCTTCCCTTTTTTTTTCTTTCCTTTCTTCCTCCCTCCCTTCTTTGGACACATTTGTTGATCACCTGCCTGGTCTAAGCCATGGGCTCTGCACACAGAGGCCTGACCCCCTTGCTGGGGAGACAGATGTGAACTGATGAGATGTGAACAACTCCAGGCTGAGAACTCAGAGGAAAGCGTGACCACTTTAGGAGGATTTGACATGTGGGACTACGGGCCAGTGGCCTGAGGATGGGTGTGAAGCTGACCAGGGCTTGAACATAGATTTCTCAGAAGCTCTGGAGCGATGGGTTTGGAACAAATGTGGAAGGGCCTGGACTCCCCACTCATTGCCATGTCATGCCAAGAATGCCGTCTCCAGGCTGTCCCTACTCATCCTTGGTTCCACCGGCTCCTCCTATCTCAGGGTCTCTGCCTGGAATGCTCTCCATGCCCATCCTTTGCATGGCTGCTTTCTTGGCACCCTACAGCTCTTGGTGTGAATCTCTCTTTCTTAGGGATGGGAGGAACCCTCCCCTAGACACTCCACCTAAAGTTCCTATTATTTTTCTTAATGGCATTTAACACAAACATTTTAATTTTACATTGTTTTTGGTGTACTTGTTACATCTGCCTTCTCTCCTAGACTCTAAGTTCCTCAAAATCAAAGAAAAAAAATTTTTTTGACTCATGATTGTATCCCCAGCACCTGACACAATGTCTCCTGACACATGGCTGATTCCTCACAAATACTGGTTGAATGAATGAATAAATGAGTCAAGACACAAATTAGAGGTTACCTCTTCCACCAGGCCTACCCGCCAAGTCTGGAGCAGGGTCTCTTTGTGTGTTTCTGTAGTGCCTGTACTTATCTGGTCATAGAACTTATTAATAATACAAAATGGGAAGTATTTACTTGCCTGCTGTCACTCCTCCCCCTGCCCCAACCAAGAGCTCCCTAAAGACCAGGACCACCTCGCTCTCTCCCAATCAGAGTCTGGCACAAATGCATCCCAAACTGACACTTTGCCCCAATAATAGGAGTGTTTTCCTGGAGGTAGGAGGAGTCTGGGCACTTTCTGTGAGCTCTAAATCATCCCTCCCCACTCATGGACAGAGGAGCCTACATGAACTGGGCTTCTTTCAGGGCTCCATGGCTGGAGTTCCTGCTCTGCGAGCCCTCCCCCCAGCCCCCTTCACGTGACGACATCAGGGAAGAGGGCTGGCCCCTCCTGCTGGCTGCCAGCTTTGCCTCAGCATCCTGTCTGCCTCCCAGGCATTCCTCTTTGCAAGCCGACTCATACAGTACCCGGAGGCGAGTGCCTGTGCTCCCATGTGTGGATAATGAGGTTGTAGGCTGTGTGAGAAAGCAGAGCTTGAGCAGCCAAGAGGGGCCTCCCACACCCCCCCTATTTCGTTCTCACCCAGGGCACCAGCCAGACTGTAGGGCTTCTCTCATGAAGGTGGCAGGATTGCACATTTGGTGGGTACTTTACACAGGCAGTCTTAACTATCCCTCTTAACAAAAAGCCCTATGAGTAAATAGTAGGGAGGGTAAGAGGGTCAGAAGTGTGGGAAAGAGGAAGGTGGATAGGTTGTGATTCTAAATAATGTGGTCAGGGTAAGTCTCACTGAGAGGATGACATTTGAGAAGAGATTTCAAGAAGTGGGGGGTGTCTTAGTTCATTTTGTGCTGCTATAACAGAATACCACAGACTGAGAAATTTATAATGAACAGGAATTTATTTGGCTCATGGTTCTGGAGCAGGGAAGTCCGAGAAGATGACACCAGCTTCTGGCAAGAGACTTTGTGCTGCGACATCCCATGGTAGAAGGCTGAAGGGCAAGAGAGTCCATGCATAAGAGAGAGAGAGAGAGAGAGAGAGAGAGAGTGTGTGTGTGTGTGTGTGTGTGTTTGTGTGTGTGTGTGCTTGTCTGTGTCTGTGTGGAGGGGGGGAGGCGGGGGAGAGAGAGAGAGAGAGAAAGAGAAAAGGCTGAACTGATTTTTTAAATCAGGAACCCATTCACACAATAACCCATTCCTGAAAGAATAGTATTAACTCATTTATGAGGGCAGAGCACTCATGACCTAATCACCTCTTAACGGTCCAACCTCTCCACATTGTTGTATTGGGTATAAATTTTTTAGCACATAAACTTTGGGGGACACATTCAAACCATAGCAGGGAGTTAACCACATGAATATTTGGAGGAAGAATATTCTAGCAGAAGGGAGAGGCAATGCAAAAGCTCCCAGGTGGGAGCTTCTTGGAGTTCTTGAAAAACAGCAAGGAGGCCAATGAGGTAGAAGTAGAGTATGGGCAAGTATAAAGAGAGGTGACATCAAAAAGAGAAATATAAGGACACAGATCATGTAGGCTACTGAAGAACTTTGGCTTTGATTGAGTGAAATGGGGTCCATGGTTGGGTTTTGATCAGAAAAGTGACATTATCTGACTTGGATTTCTAAAGGATCACTCTTACTACTGTGTTGAGAACAGACGTTAAGGGGCAAGGAAAGGCAGAATTAGCATAAGAGGCTATTGAAATAATCCAAGCAAGAATAGCAAGGATGATGCCTGAGACTACAGTAATAGTAGAGATGGTGAGAAGTAGTAGCTCTGTGAATACAGTAGTAGCTCTCTGGATATAAACAGTAGAGCCAACAGGATTTCCTGAGGGCGTGGATGTAGGACATGAGAAAAAGAAAAAAAAAAAAAGGATGATTTCATGTCAGAACAGCAGAGAAGTAGAAAGGATGAAGTTGCTTCCTAGAGATGGAGGAGGCTGCAGATGGAGCTGATTTAGGAAGAAGGAAAATGGAGGATTCCTTTTTGACTTGTTGAGTTAAGGATATCTATGAGTCTTGGGTTTAAGAAAGAGATCTGAGTGGGAGACATAAATTTGGGATTTATCACCATATAGATGGCATTTAATGCCATTAGAATGGATACGTCACCAATACAGTGTGTGTAACGTTATAGGTGGAGAAAAGAACCAAAGTCCAGCCTGGTACACTGCAACATTAAGATGTTGCTTTGACACCCCAAAGATATGAGTCACATTTAGAAAATTAAACAAAGTGCATCCCCTGCATGTCCCAGCTCACTCACTTCCTTCTCAAACTTCCTGAAAAATAACCTAATTTCACAGTCTCCACAGTCTCCCCACCCAGCAGTCAAGCTTCAGCTCCAACCATTTTACCAAAGCTTCTTCCTCCAAAACCATCAAAGACTTCCAGTGAAGGAGCCTTAGTATCATTTGACATTGTTCCCTGAGCACTCCTATGTTCTCAAAACTCTCATTTCCAGAATGTAGGAAATAGCAGATGCCCTCAAGGACTTGCATCTTTGAGAGTCAGGCCTTGTGGATTGCATTACTTGGGACCCCTTTACTGGTTGACTTCAGATTGGGTTCATCCAATGGGAGATTGGTGGGCAGGAGGAGAGCAGTCAGGGTATTTTTTCTCTGCTTTTGTCTATTTCCCCATATCTAGCAATGGCTGCATCCTCCTCCCTCAGGATTCTGAACTCTGGTAGAACTTTTTTTCTGTTCAGATTCTAGCCTTTCTGTCTCTGTCTCTATGACTGGCTTATCTTTCTCCTGTATACTCAATTGCTGATGTTCCATTCTCACCAATTTTCTTTTCTTTCCTTACTCTATATGCTTTCCATGACCTTGTTTTTCCCCCATGGTCGTAGCTACCACTCATATCTTATGCATTATAGCTGTTTCCCACATTTTAACAGAGAAGCGGTAACCCATGTGTTCAGGCACTCATCAGACACCTCCACTGGACGTCCCACAGACACCCCCAAGGATGATTTCATGTTCACCAGTAAACTGAGCTTCTGCCTCCACAAAGCTCCTCCTCTTCCCCAGGGCCTGTTTCCTTTGCTCTGTCATCCCCTCGTCCTGGAATTCCCTCCTGCCTAGCCCCCTTCTCATCTACTTTCCTCCTCCCTGTCAGGCTTCTCCTAAAAGAGGAAGATAGTCCTTTTTTCTGTCACTATTACTGTGTTTTTGCTGCCTCCAGCCTTGTGCCCTGTCACTGGGTGGAGAGTCTCTGTTATTTATGCCTCAGGCTTAACTCAGTTAAACTGTTCCATAATTTATAAGACAGCTAACCTTAGCACGTCTGAGTTATTGAACAAATATCGGAGATAATTTAGATTTGATTGCTGATGAGCAGAGAAACCACAGTCTGTAGTCTGGAAAGGGCCACCATGGAGTAGAGGATCAGATGGCTGCTGCTTCAGCTTCTCAGACTAGTCATGATCTTTCCTCCTGGCATAGAAGCCATCCCCAGCACCAGCCTGTTTAACTGAGGTCCTCACAGTTTGCCCAGCCTCACCTACTCTGTGGTGAAAAACACAGAAACTTTAAAATACAACTGGCCAAGATTTGAAGCCAGATCTTTATCTTGGCTCTGTGATCGCAGGCAAGTCACTTCATTTCTCTGAATGTGTAGAAGGAGGCTAGTAATATCTGCCCAGCCTCCTTCATTGAGGAAATGAAGTGGAGTGGCATGGAGTGCCAAGAATTTTTTAAGCATTATCTAATATAATTCTTACACTCAATTATTAGCTAGTTGTACCTAGAATACATCCATTGGAGCTTTGGAGGAGAGTGAAGAGAGATAAGGAAATATCCCCTATCCTACAGGATTCTATACAGGTATGTGGGAATGGGGAGCTTTCTCCAACAGAGCAGCCAACTTCACCCAAGATTCCCAGTTGGAACAACCAGAAGTTCTGGTCACCATATTCTTAGTGCATTGAATCTCTTAGCTCTTCAGTATCATTCCCCACCTCTCACTCCATGCCATGGAGATGAAGTTGGCTCCTTCTTAATGGTCTCCCCTTGGCAAATGAATCACACTAATATCAGAGATTACAAAAACAAGTCGTTAACACCAACTCCTTTTGGGTAAAGGTTCAGAAGCTCAAAAAAGTAGAAATACTAGGAAGATAAGAAAGAAAATAAACAATTAAGAACGTTTGTATCCAACTGCTCAATGTAGTCAAAAGCTACTCCTCTAATATGGGACTCTAAAATTACTTCTTGGTTGTAGAGTATTTAAATAAAGAAGTGCAGTGTCAGCGATGTTTGCACTTCCCATTTGGGTGAATGGTATTGCTACCCCCACATACCCTAGTCAGACCAGAGGAAGCCTTTGAACCACTTCTTCTCCTTCATCCCCACACTCAAGCAGTCACCAGTTCCTTTCCATTTGTCACCTAAACATTCTCTCTGTCCCAGCACCTCTGGCCACATGTTTTCTCTTGGTCTCTGGGACCTCGACAACAGCCCAGTCTCTGGGCCTGCAGCCACCCTCTGTGTAGATTTCAGACCTATCTTTCTAAAACACAAGTGAGATCAGTTTTCTTCCCTATTCAGAGCCTCTCTTATCTCATTACCACCTCAGAGAATAGTTGTCAAATGTGAATGTGCCTAAGAGCCGCCTGGAGAGCTGGTTAATGATTCAGATTCTCAGGCCTCACCTCGGAGAGTCTGAATCTCTGGGTCTTGGGAGAGGCCTGGGAACCTGCATTTTTGACAAGTATCCTGCCCCCAGTGGGTATTCTGATACATACAATCTAAAGACTACATTTTAAGAAAAACTGCAAAAGAATGAACAGAGGAAGGGAGAGAAGAAAAGGAGGGAGAAAGCCGGGCAGGAGGACTCAGTTCCAATCCATCAGAACAACACGGAAGAGCCTCACCATCTGGTACTGCCTGTGCCACTTTCAACATGCCATCTCTAACCATGCTGCGGAATATAGTGTCCCTTCACCATCCCCCACCCTCTGTACCCGGTTTTGTTCTTCTCCAGAGCACATATCACCACCTGAGACATTTGTGATTATTAACATGCTTGCTTTCTGTCTTCCCCCATTCCAGTATAAGCTCTAATGCAAGCAAGAACTTAGATTTTACTTTCATATCCTCTACTACCTAGAACAGTGGCTGACACCTAGTAGAAAATATCTGTAAGTATTTGTGGGGGATATAGCATTAAAAAAGATACAAATGTTGTGGGCCTGCCGCACCCTAACACATCCTTTGAGGAGTAGCACTGCCCTTCCAGGTCATGTGACACTGAGGGCCCTCTCAGTGGCAGTGCTGAGCAGGGTGAGCACATGACCACGGCCCAGCCATTCACAGTAGCCCATCTCCACGTCCTAGGTGGAGACAGTTCTGTGGGTGGGTATTTGACTCATGCAGGGGGATCACACCTTTCCAGCAGCTGTGAGGTGTGGACCTGGAGATGCCAGTGACCATGTTCCCTCCATATGTGCAGTATTAGCAGAGGAGGTCAAGCAAACCTCAGAGATGAGGAGAGAGAAAGAATCTGACTGTGTGGAGACCCTGTCCTCTCCCTGAGGCCCCGGTGGCTGCAATCCGTCTGTCCTTCCATTCTGAGTCGCACTCACACCCTTTCCAGCTACCCAAGACATTCCACTCTTTTCGTTCCAGCTAGTTTGAGTTTTCTGTCATTTGCATATGACAGAATTCTGCCTAATACATGGGGACTAATTACATACATAATTACTTACAATTTGCTATGAAGTCGCAGGCAGGAAAATGTAGGTTGCATTGAGAACAAATAATAGATGGGCCTAATCAAGTCTTGAGGGTCAGACTGCTTCTCTGGGGAAATGGCATTTAGCTGTGATGGAAAGGATGAGAGAAGTTAGCCATATGAAATGGGCTAGAGAGGGTTCCGGGCAGTTGTGCAGCAGGTACGAAGGGCCTCAGGTAGGAAGCAGACAGCTGGGAGCATTCAGTGAACTAAAAGAAGGCCAGCATGCTGGGCACTATTTGTTTCCTCGACTCCGCCCCTGCCCTCACGTTCTGGGATCCCTCCTGCTTATGTTTGCTGCTAGCAGCTCACTTACTCCTGTGACCTTCAGAGGCTTGCCCGGGGCCCTGGAGACACCACACGTGTACAGAGAGCCAGCAGTGTCTGGACATTCACATGCTCCTCAGGTGTCCAGTGCCAGTGTCTGGCTAGTGTGAAAGAACACAGGACAAAGTCTGGGATGTTAGTTCTACACCAGAGCTTCCTGCTGGATTAAGTTGAGTCTGAAACTCCACCTAAATCACCCTCTAACTTGGCTTCTTCCTGTTCTTTCTCCTGCTTCTGTCGCTTTCACCTGAGAATACTTGGAGCAGAAACCACTTGCGTCTGAATCCATGGCTTCGAGTCCAGTTTGGAAGAACTGGACCTAAGACAGTCACTATGGGCGAGGCAGTGTGACGTAGGGAGGGTGGCATGAGGTGGGACTGCGAGGGGGTGGGGGCCAGGGCCTGGGAGCTAATGGGTTCTGTATAGGATTCAGGTCTATATCCCAAGCAGCAGAGATATCGTTCCCCACCCACCCACCCACCCAACGTCATAGCCTCACCAAACTTTTCAATATTTCTCAAACTGTCCTTTCACTACCCAGTTATCATCTTGGGCCCAGGATATTTCCTTTGTCTGGAAAGCTCTCTCCCACCTTCTCTATTCAGTTAACTGATGTATCCCACATAACTCACTTCAAGTATCACCTCCTCCAGGAAGCCTTTCATGACTTCCACTGGTCACCACCCCCAGGGCTGGGCTGAATACTGCTTCTCTGTACTCCTCAGTACCTTCTTCTTGGTTTCATTGTTCATCTCCCTTCAGTAAAGAAACATTTATTGGAGGAACATGCTCAAGCTCTTTATTATAGAAGGGGTATATAATCAAAAAAGTTTAGTGACCTGAACCCTAGATTCTGAGCTTTTTGAGAACAGAGATTGTCTTAGTCCACTCTTTATTACTTTAAGTGTTATTCAGTGCCTGGTAAAAACCAGCAATTGCCTACTTGCTTACTCTGTGCGAGACCACTGGCCCCAGCATTTTACATGCTATTTATTTATGCAATCCTGTGAGGAAAGTAGGTATCATGCCCATTTTACAAGTAAGACAAATGAGGCACAGAGAGACTGAATAATTTGTCCAGGACCACACAGCTAGTAAGTGACAGAGAAAGATTCAAACTCAGGCAATGTTGACTCCAGAATGTGGATTCTTAAACAATATGTTGAGGCCCGTCTGTATAAAGCATTCAAAAGAGCTGGGGGTGATTAGACCATCACTATCATTAGAAGATCTGTATTTTCAGCCTCATTAACCCACTTTTCATCTCCTGCCTACTTTTTCTCATATTTTGTAACAGTCCTTGGAAGCTTCTGCCAGTCCAGCATGACTTCACATGGAGCAGTTACTGTGATGAGATTCCTGCTTATCTCTACGTGGTCACCTGGGAGATCCTTGTCTTCCTGACAAGATTTTAGGGAGGACTAGACACCTTGATGAAATTGTGGAACCCCCGCAAGAGACCTATCCAACCATATTTGCAAATCCTGTCTGCAGTAGGAGTGGGAGGAGAAGAGAATTGCCTGGGAAGATTTCCAAGATGCTTCCAATTGAAATCTGAAGGCCATGAGACAGACTTTCATGCCGGGCTTCACCCTCTGCCTGCCTCTGCAGCTTACGCACTGCTTGGATTTGTGTAGTCATTTATTCAGCACTCACCAGAACCTACTATGTGCTGGGCATTGGGCTAGATGCTGAGCTTACAGAGATGCCTAGCTCATAGCTTAAAGGAACAGTTCAACGAGCAGGAGGGCCATATTAATACCCTGAAGCAAATGCTGTGGCTGAGGTCGCAGGAGCACAAGAGGAGGGACCCTTGACCCAGACTGGGAGTACTGAGGATAACCTCCTGGCCAAGGCAAAAATGGAAGGAACTTTGAAAGTGAATTTGTGTTTGGATCTTGACATTTTCCTTACAACTACAGGTCTTCGGGAGAAGTATTTAACCTCTCTGAGCTTGGATGGTCTTATTTGTATAATGGTAGTAATAGTATGTACAGTATGGACTTAATGAGATAATGAAATAAGTGTTTATCAGACACATAGCTAATATTTGTTGAATTCTCACTAAGTGGCAGGCATTGTTCTTTGCATTTTAGGCCATTTAGCCGTAACAACTCTGTGATATAAGAACTATTATTATCATAGTTTTATAGCTGAGAGAGCTGAGGCACTGTCTGATCTTGGACTAACCAACCAGAGACAGATCCTGAGACAAGATCTCAAGTGGAAATAATTTCTGGAGAGGTGCAAAGAGCATGGGTAACATCAAGAAAAGGGAAGCCAGCCAATAACCGCATGATTAAGTCAGCTACTACAGTGGGTAACTAGTGCTTAATCTTTCAGGGAAACTGTGAAAAACAGTGCAAAACACGTGCCTTGGAACTATCCCAGTCAAGAGGCAAGGGAGTTGGGGCATTTATACCCTCATTATCTGTCGGTCGTTGGTTCAAAGCTGCCCCCAGAAGACTGGGCCTGCACATTGACAAAGAGCACATTGACAAAGTGGGTTCTGGAAGCCCAAGCACAGCCCTGCAACAAAGATGCAGGTGCTGGCCATAGAAAGTGGGGCTGGATCAGAGGCAAGTACTGAAGGGATCTGAAGGGATAGATGCCACGAACTCAGAATGTCTGCTCTAAATCCCAGAGGTTAAGAACTTGCCCTCCGACCAACAGCTAGTAAGTGACAGAACTGGGATTTAAACCCAGGCAGCCTGGCTCCAGAGCCCACTCAATAAATCCACACTGTCTGCCTCTCTCAGTGCCGGCTACATACAGTGTAGCTCTTGAGGTTGTCATTGTTATCATGACTATTGTTTTCTTATTCTACCTCTAGAGATCAAACCCAAGGTCGAGTAATCAAGTCATTGTTCTACCTTGTGTTGTGTTGGGAAGAGTGATTTTGGGAATTGGGGCTCTTTAGTTCAAGTCCTAACTCTGCCCTGCCTAGCTAGACAGATTGTTTTTCCTTTCTGGCTCTGATTTCCTCAGTTATAAAAGAGGTGTCAGATTCGATGATCCCTAAGGAAGTTTCTGTGTCTGACATTTCTCTCATATGGTTTTCCTACCAGCGTGCAAGATGTCCTCCTGGTAGGACCTGGTCAGTGGGTGTCTCTGGCTTGACCGTCTCCACCCTTTTAGACGGCCAGCTTCTGATTAAGCAGGACTGACGTTAATTTATGTACTTACGAAATCCTCCTCACTGGGAACAAGAGGAAATTAAATTGCTCACTGAGTCGGTAACAGATGGTTGGCTCCATCTTCTTTCTGACTGGGACCCCCCCAGAGAGAGTAATTGAGGGCATCCTGTCACACGAAAGAGACCGAGGGGGCGAGGGAGACTGAGGGATGGTTGGGAGGCCTCTCTCCAGCACATCACTCATTCTGATGTCTCCCCATTTCTCAGTGAAGGAGAAAATCAAATAACACCCGGAAGGAAGTAAGCGGTTTGTAAATAGGGCACACTGGGGTGCCTCCAGCTTTTTCATTCTGCTTTATTTATTGTGTGCGTGTGTGTGCATGTATGTGTGTGCGTGAATGTGCATGCATGTGCACGTATGTGTGCATGAATGCACATGTGAACCCTCAAACCCAAGTTGGAGGTTTCCCAAGCATCCAACTCAGGAAACTCAACTTGGTCAGTTTCAAGGGAACCCCTGAATGGACCTGGAGGCTGACTGAGCCCTGCTCATTCATGCACATGCTGGCCCCGCTCCAAAACCTCCAGAATGCTAGTTTTAACCAGATGACACAAGATTTCTTATTATTGTTCAGCTGAGGGAGAGAGCAGTGAGAGATTGAAATCTACATCAACTCTGCAAACACACATCCACACGTAAAACTCCACTGTGCCTCCTGAAACCTTCTTATTCTTTCGCTAGGTATCCCTTCAGGCCTCTTAGCCAAATGCCCAGTAGAATGTTAGGACCTCCCTTTGATGTCAAATTCCAAAAAGACTTTTTTTGAGGAGATGTCAAAAAAGTGTAATTTGGAACATCAAAAACCAATAAGCTCAGAAAAACCTGAGTTTAAATCCTTGCTCTGTCACTGACAAGCTGTGTGTCCTTGGGCAAGTCACTTATCCTCTCTGACCTCTCTTTTGAATTTTAAAATGGGAATATGGGCCTGGCATTGTGACTCCCTTCTGATATCACAGCACTTTGGGAGGCTGAGGCAGGAGGATCACTTTAGCCCAGGAGGTTGAGGCTGCAGTAAGCTGTGTTCATGCCATTGCACTCCAGCCTGGGCAAGAGAGTGAGACTCTGTCTCAGAAATAAATAAAATAAGATAAAAAGGGAATATAGACATCTTATTTTGAGGATTCTAGGAGACAGTATATGTAAGGCAGCCAACAGAAAGCTTAGAAAACTGTAGATGTTTAATAAATGTTTTTTCTAAGAACCTCAGAAGCCAATTTTGAAGAAATCTTTGAAGTCACTTCTAGATTTACCAATCACTGGATTACAGACTGACAAGGCAGAATGTAGGTGCATCCAGCCCCTGCCACTTCCTGTTCCTCCTTAGTGACAAACGGTGGACCAGCTCTCCCATCACCTACACTCCTCAACACATACTCACACATGCTTTTCCCTCATACCATGGGTCCAGCAGATAATTTGTGCTTCTTCCAGTCCACAACTTGGTTTGAGTTGGACAATGCCAGCCTCTCACAGTACAGGAGGCTTCCAATAATAACATCTCCTAAATAGTTAATGTAACAAAAGTGTTAAAGCTTTAAACATAGGAAAAAATATCACCTATAATTACACTGCCCTAATATCAAATCTTTATTCCATTAGCAAACAAACTTTTACATCATCGCCAAGGCTTTTTGTTCACTTAAGATTTGGTAGTCTTTGGACTAGACCCTGGAATAGACAAAGAGCATTAGTGGAAAAACTGGCAAAATCCAAATAAAGTCTGGATTTTAGTTAATAGTAATGTACCAATGTTAATTCCATGGTTTTGACAAGTGCACCATTGTAATGTAAGATATTAACCTTGCGGAAAGTCAGGCAAAGGGTAGGTGAGAACTCTCTGTACTATTTTTGCAATCTTTCTGCAAATCTAGATATTCTTAAAATTAAAAGGTCACTTTATAAAGAGCAAAGTATAAAATAGTGTATGTTGTATGTAATACTTGTATAAATAAATAAGCAATCATGTTTACTCTTCTAAACAGAAACTAATACTCAACACATTGTTTAAACATAGTAATTACAGTTCCCATTTTTGTTGCTAAATAATAGTTCATCCTAAAATATCAAATTTCTATTTTTTCTAACTCTGCCACTACCTACTAACAGTAAAAATTTACTTCACCTTTTTTGCTTCTATTTCCACATCTGTAAAATGAAGGTTATAATAATGTCCCACTCAGATGCTTTTGTGAAGATTAAATGAGATAATGCAGTACCTAGTGAATAGTAATTGCTGACTTGTTGTTATTACTCTCATTCTCCTGTCTTGGTTCTTATTCAAACTCCAGTATTAAGCCCCATGTGATGCTGAAGAAATTGCTCAGCATCTCTGGAATTCGGCTCTCCACATGTTAATCAAAATTGTCTTTTGAGCAACATATGAGGAACCTTGGTATGCACTGTCATACTATGCTAGAGAACAAGTAAAGCAGGAGAAATAAAAACAGCCAACCTTAGGGCTTACTATGTGCCAAACTGTTACAAGAGTCTTAAAAGCATTACTCATATAATCCTCACATCAACGGTATAAGGTAGGAATTCTCCCTTATAGAGATAAGAAAACTAAGGCTCAGAGATGTTAAGCAACTTGCCTAGGGGCACACAGCCTTTCATGTCAGAGCTGGACTTGAACTAGGTGGCCTGACTCCGGATTTGGTGCTCTTAACCCTGCTGAGCAGAGACAGTTATGATCTGTTAGCACCCCAACCCTCACAGCAGCTGAGGAGTGTGTCCCAGCCAGCAAAAATGATATGGGAGAGGCACCATCAGCATTTACTGCAAGGAAGATGAAAAATTGCACCCTGATTCTTGCATGTTTCTGCCCCGAAGTGATGCACATCTCTTGCACTCACATTTCATTGGTCAAAACAAATCACCTGGTCATGCCTGAGATCAAAGGTTCTGGGCACAGAAAGAAGAAAACTATAAATACTGATGAGTAGCACTAATGTTAGATGAGCATTATTAATGGAAAGGGGCTTTCTTAGAAGGCTAGAAGCCCTTTGTTTATACTGAAATTGCAGTTCATCAAATAATGAGTGTTACTATATTAATAATATGATGTATCTTATGTATACATTATATATAAGCATATGATATATACATACTATATAAAATGGCAATAATAATTGTTGCTGGTTGTGTTTTTAGCAATTTTAACAAATAATCTTCTACCTCAAATATATATCAGCTCCACTACTTGCTAATTGTATGATTTTCTAGCTTGACCAACCATCCCAGGTTCCCTGGGGCTAAGGGATTGCCCACGATGTGGGACTTTTGGTCCTGGGCAAACAATGACAATTGGTCACCCTACCTTGGCAAGCCTCCTAACCTCTCTAAGCCCCATTTTTTACATTTGTCAGATGGAAGATAACCAAATCTACTTTTTGTGGTGATTAAATGTATATGTAAACACATGGCACAATTTCTAGTGCATGGTAAATTCATTAAATTCTGACTATATTAGTAGCAGTAGTATAAAGTTCCCAATAATTGGATGAAATAAAAATCAATATTCCCACCTTACGGAGGAAGACATTAAAACCCCAGAAGATCATGAGACTCGCCTGAGTACACAAGCCCACTGCAAGCCTGCTCTTTGGTTCTGCAGAGGCCAGGCACTGCCCTCTGTCCCCACCCTGCCTAGCAGCAGGAAGCTGCTTCTTGGGCTGAGGCCTTCTCTGGCCTGGAGGAAGTGCTGTCTTGAAGCATCTCAATGGCTCCCCTCCATGATTTACACCTCCCATGTGAACTTACGCAGGTGCTTCTGTTCTTGGATCTGTGAAAAACGCTTCTTGCTGGAGGATTTAGAAACCTGGATGTGTGGCGAGAGATGTGCTCTGAAAACCCTCTTCTGGAGAAATAGGGGCTTTCCTTCAAGGAGTGACAAACTACAGTTTCCCTAAAGGAATACTCATCCCTTGTGCTTAGGAAGCGTGTGATATCTGGTAAAGGCTTTCTATAGGAATCACTCCACTTGTTATTCCCAAAAAACATAAGAGAAAGGAGACTTCATCACCTCCACTCCCCAGAGACAGAAAGTCAGGCTCAGGGAGCTGAAGCAACCCCAGAGAACAGGTCTCCGGCCTGGCAGAGTTCTCTCTGCCATAATAAGATTTTCAGATGGCACTCCAGGAGTCATGGTCTATTAGGGTAAGCAACCATTCTGATTTGCCCAGGACTGTCTTTGTTTTAGAACTGAAAGTCACCCATCACAGGACATCCCCGGTCCCGGACAACCAGCATGGCTTCCCTGGTTACCCCTAACCATCTATTTTATACCATTATTTAAATTTACATATATCTTACGCTCCTCATTGTAGACTCACCACAGTAATAAAAAAGAAATTAATTGGGAAATTGATTTCGTCTTGTGCACTAGATTATAAGCTTCAGGCAGGCATTGGCCAAATCTGTGTTCGTTGCTCCCAGCCCATTACGTTACACAAAGGAGTCTCTCAATATATCTTTCTCTAATAAATGAATGAATAAATAAATTTCTCAGTAAATATTAGATAAGAGTACCTAGTAACCACCCTTGCTCACATCAGCATTTCCTAAAATATCTTCCTTCCAGAAGCTGTTAATATTCATTTTTTAAAATAAGGGTTTCCTTGGTGAAATGAACACCAGAACACTGGGTTAGACAAAGCCAGTTGATTTATTTATAATGCAGGGACCTTCCTATTTACTGAGCAAAGTACAGTCAAAAGGGCTGGGGGTGGGGTGGTGGACAAGTAAGTGCATGCTGTTCTCCAAGAACAGTAATTTAACCATGAACCTTTTAGCAAAGGGCATTTGAGAGACTTGTGCTCTGCCAAATATCTTCTGAGAAATGCTGGACTAGATAACTAACCATGTGTACTCTCTGCTGTCAACTCCATTTCCTTTGAGCCTGTAATTTTTATTATTGTTACTAATGCCATCCATCCTTGTTGTTCCATGTCAGTGGATAAGAGAGAACTAAGGATAAGCTCTGCCCCTCTCCCTGTAAACTCTAACTCTCCAAACTCTCATACTTTCTCCCTCCAAGGCAAACTAATGTGTCACAAAAATAAATTACCATGGTGTGCTGGCTTGTTTCCGAAATACTCCTGAGGGATGACAAGCTGTTCCAGTTTATTCCTCCCCAAACCCTCATATCACCTTCCATTCATGATCCTCATGGTCCCTACTGAACAGTGGAAGGAAACTCTTTGGACATCCTATTAGGATGGTGTTGGTGGCAAAATTGCTTTTATCTTACTAGCTGAGAGCTGAGTGCTCAGTGGCCAGGTGGCCAGATTCCTCCATGGCTCAGCAACCTCCCTGGCCATTATTCACAAGTAATGACTAATCAGTCACCTAGAGCCTGTAGAGGAAGAAAAATCAAAGAAAGGGTTTGCTTGACTGTCATGAATGCTGAAAGAATAGTAGCAAGGGGTGGCGGGAATTGCACCGGCTCCTGAGGGGATGAAATAATGGCGCATTTCAAAGTACATTTAAAGTTGTTTTGAAACACATCAGCCAATGACTGGGTACAAAGTCATCTGTCAACATGAAAAAAAGGAGAGAGTTGATCAACTTTCAGTCTCAGAAAGGACACAAAGATAAACTTTCCTGCTATGTACCAGTTTTTTTTCCTATTGATATTCATGTATTAATTTTTATTCTTTAACAAATATTTAAGAACCAATTACATGTTGGGCACCATTCTAGCTACAAGAGACACAGTGGTCAGCAAAAGAAACACTGCCAGCCTTCCCAGAGCTTATAGATTAGTGAGGGAGAGGGTGAATAACCAGATAAACAAACGCTCGTCAGTGCTATGAAAGAAAAGAAGGAACGATACACAGTGCTAATGGCAAATGTATGACAGAACAATGTGAGCTCGGATGAACAATCAGGGAAGACTTTCTTGAGGAGGTGACATTTGGACTGAGATCTAAAAGATGAGCAGAGAGTCTCTTATTTGAACATGGTAAGATAGGTATTCTAATGCCGTATATCAGAATAGTTTTGCCTGTGAGTAGCATTAACTCAACTAAAAATGACTTAAACAAAAAAAAAAAAAAAGTCTTATGCAATAAGAAGACTGGAGGAGGCAGAGTTTCAGGGTTGATTAAGCGGCTTAACAGTGTTATCCAGAACCAGGTTTTCTCATTAATCTACCTTGCCATTCCCCCGGGGGAATGGCATGTCCTTTTGGTCTGCCACATGCAGCCTCATGCAATGGCTAACACAGCCCAGGCATCACATAAGATAACAACATTCTGGGGCAGAAAAGTATGTGTTTCTTTCCCTGAGGCTCCTTTTTCTTTTGCAGAAATGCTTTCCCTGTGTCTCCCAGCAAACATACCCCTCATGCCTCATTGGCCAGAATTTCAACACATGCACATACTTAAAGCAGTTGTTGGCAAAATAAAGGAATTACTTTGATTGGCTTAGATCAAGATTAACCCACTGGGGGCTTCAACCTCCTCCCCAGAAGTTTGTGATTACTTGATATCTATATAAACATAGGGTTTTGTTAGGTAGATAGATAGATAAGATAGGTAGATAACAGAAAGTAGATAACAGAAATTTTGCCTGTGGTCAATTTTACAATAAGAAAACTGAGATCAAAGAGTTGCACAACTTGCCTCACACAATTTTGAATTGGAGCACAGATGAATCTGACCCCAGTTTGTGCTTTTCTCTTTATACTGAAGCATGCAGTGAAGACTGGACCAGATCCACAGGGAACTGATTCTGTGTTCCAAGATGGGGGGCTGGCCCTGGTGTTGAGTTTGCAGGTGAAGGAGCTCCAATTATAGGAGGAAACAAAAGGCTAGGAGCAGCAAGAGCCCAACACATTTTCAAGGGAGAAATTTAGGGACAGGGGACACAAGCACAAGAGATGACTATAACTAGGGATCCCATTAATGTCTCAGAAATAAGGGGAAAATCCCAGCTACTGGAATTGAGGCTCTGGCAGGCAGACTAAGTGACTGAGTAAAACGCTTGCATCCCTTCCCTGTCTCACCACTGGACTGCACAGCTGCCTTGGCTGTGAGTACAGCAGGGCTAAAGAATGTGGGAGTAGGGCGGATTATGAGAACAGTTCAAAGGTGGTCCATCCACGTTTATAGAGTAGAGAAAGAAATAGAATCCAACAAAAGAAAGTGGAAGAAATAATCATTGAGGTAGAAAAAATGGAAATAGCGTAGAAGGCAAAACAAAATTTTCATAGGAAAGGGATGGTGAAACCAAGGTCTGGCATAGAATATGAGTGGAATACACTTGGATACATCCACGCGTGCATGAATGAATAAATGGCTGAATGAATTGGCCAAGCACAGGGGAAGGGCCAGAGAGGCTGTAGGACCTGCACGTATCGCGGGAATGAATCTTAGCCCCCAGGGGTTGGAATCGAGGAGAAAAGAGACAGATGGAATGCTCTTGAGGATAACTGGTCAATCTCAGGACTTGGGTCCTCTTGGACTTGAACACGGGGTGGGAGCCAGGTTACTCTGACCCTTTTTCAGACGCAGCTGCAAAGTCAGGCTCTGCTGCTTTTTCTGCCCTTCATAGATGATGTGCATGTCCTCTGACAAACTGGCCAGGGTCCTTGAAACAAAGCCTACACTACTGCAAATAATAGAAAACCAAGCAGATGGAACTTCCCAGGATGGGTGAGAATAGGATAGGAGAGACCAACCACCAAATGTAAATTTTCTAAACTCAGGGATGACCTTGGAGGAGTCCTCGTGCTCCACTCTAGGATTGTGTTCAGTCATACCCCTGTCCTGAAATCTCAGGGAGGCCTAGGTTGGAGGTAAGACACCACTTCTTCAAACGTGCCCCCTTGATTTCCTAATCCAGTGCCTCAGTGCATGCTGTCCTCTCAAAGTGAAATGCTTGCCTACCCCACGTTGACTTGTCCCCAAAGGAGACAACTTCCTGAAGCCAGGCGGCTGTTTCCTTACAGATCCCCTCATTTAAGGCAGTTGGGGCTTCCATATATCATAGCAGTCATTCCACTGTATTTACATCTAATAATTCATCTGTTTTCTTTGTAGCCCAAGAATTTTTTGAGATAGTAACAATATTTCATGTCTGTATCTGTAGTGACTAGCATAACACCTGATTATGTGGTCAAATCAGGGGTATTCATTGACATATGTATGATTTTATAAGCAGGTATATAATAATGCATAAAAGAATGAGGGATATGTGAATGAGTGAATGGGAGTACGTGACATAATTGGAGAATAAAAAATAAATGAGGGGTTTCTGGTTCCAATCAAGATGGTATATGCACCCTTCACTCTGTCTTGCTCCTACTAAAAGCAACTGAAAACCCTGCAAATAAATCATAGAGCAGCTATCTAAGGACTCTGAAAAGCAAATGATAGTGGGTGAATCTGCCAAGGAAACAACTTCAAGTAAGAGCAAACTGTTGGTGAATTTCCTGTTGATTTTTCCTCCAGGATTCCCCCATCGTGTCCTTGACTCAAAGGTGACCTGAAATCTAGAACCATGCACTGGGTGAAAATAGAAGCCCTAAGAAAAATCTTCTAATCCTGGTCTGAGGAGTGGCTTCCCACTCCGGGAGGTGGAGCTCAATTTCTTTCCCCCCAATGTGTGGGCTGGATTTAGTGACTCGCTTCCAAAAAACAGAATACGGAAAGGAAAAATCGAACAGTTGGCTCACGTCTGTAATCCCAGCACTTTGGGAGGCCGAGGCGGGCGGATCACAAGGTCAGGTGATCGAGACCATCCTGGCTAACACAGTGAAACCCCATCTCTACTAAAAACACAAAAAATTAGCCGGGCGTGGTGGCAGGCACCTGTAGTCCCAGCTACTCGGGAGGTTGAGGCAGGAGAATGGCGTGAACCCGGGAGGCGGAGATTGCAGTGAGCTGAGATCGCGCCACTGCACTCCAGCCTGGGTGACAGAGCGAGACTCCGTCTCAAAAAATAAAATAAAATAAAATAAAACAGTAACTTGACAGAGAGAAATGTGGCAGACAAGTCTGTAACCAAGAGATCAAGGTTAAAGTCAGCAGTTATGTTGGTATCAGGTATTCCCTGAGATGATACAATGAGAAGGGCACTACACCTGTGCAACCCTAGTCTATCATAAGAAAGTGTCAGACAACCCAAATTGAGGGAGATTTTACAAAATACCTGACCGGTACTCACCAAAATTGCCAAGGTCAGGAAAAACAAGGAAAGCCTGAGAAAGTGTTACAAATCAGAGGAGACCAAGGAGACACAATAACTTTCTAATTTTTTAAATTTTTATTAATTTAATTTTATTTTTTCAGGGATATGATTTTGCTCTGTCACTCAGGGTGGAATGCCATGATGCAATCACGACTCACTGCAGCCTCAGCCTCCTAGACTCAAGCAATCCTCCCGCCTTAGCCTCCCAAGTAGAGGGGACGGTAGGCACATGCCATACACCCAGCTAATTTTTTATTTTGATTTTTTGTAGAGGCAAGGTCTCACTGTTTGCCCAGGCTGATCTCGACCTCCTGGGCTCAAGCGACCCTCCCACCTTAGTCTCCCAAAGTGCTGGGGTTACAGGCGTGAGCCACTGAGCCCATCCCTGACACATGATAACTAAATGTAATAAGAAATCCTGAATTGGATCCTAGAGGAGAAAAAAGTCTTTAGTGAAGAAATGGGTGGATCCAAATTAAAGTCTGTAATTTGGTTAATAGTATTGTGCCAGTATTAATTTCTTAGTGTTGACAACATATCATGATAATGTAAGATGTGAACATCAGGGGAAAATGGGTGAAGGATACATGAGAACGCCCTGAATACATAAAGTTATTCCAAAATAAAAAGTATATTTTAAAAGATAAAGGACAAGAAAAGACATACTATACAAATACTGATCATAAGAAAGCTAGACGGGCTTTAGTAAACATCAGGATAGAAAAAAATACCAAAGATAAACAGAGGGAAACACAGTTAATGATAAATGGAGCAATAGAAAACAAACGACAAGTTAAGACTGGAAGAAAATATTTGCAGCTCACATACTCAGTGTAAGACTTATATTCAGAAAAATATAAAGAAGTCTCAAATCTCAACAGTAAGAAGCAAAGCATCCACTTTTTTTCTTTCCTTTTTTTTTTTTTTTTGACGGAGTTTCACTCTTGTTGCCCAGACTGGAGTGCAATGGCACGATCTCCGCTCACTGCAACCTTTGTGCCCCACCGCCCCGCCCCCTGGGTTCAAGCGATTCTCTTGCCTTAGCCTCCTGAGTGGCTGGGATTACAGGTGCGAGCCAACACGTCAGGCCAATTTTTGTGTTTTTAGTTGAGAGGGGGGTTTCGCCACGTTGGTCAGGCTGGTCTCGAACTCCTGACCTCAGATGATCCACCCACCTTGGCCTTCCAAAGTGCTAGGATTACAGGCGTGAGCCACTGCACCTGGCCTGCATCCTTTTTTTTTAAAGGGCAAAAAAAGAGACACTTTACCAAAGAAATTATTCATATGGCACATATGCACATAAAAGATGTTAAACATTATCAGCCCCTAGGAAAATGCAAATTAAAATCACAATGAGATAGAGATACCATTATAACCCTATGAAAATGGCTAAAAAAAAAAGAAGACAAAGCCACATGTTCACGATGATGTGGGCCAACTGGAACTTTCATTCACTGCTGGTGGAAATGCAACATCACAGAGCCACTCTGCAAAAAAGTCTACAGTTTCATACAAAGCTAAACCAGGCGCAGTGGCTCACGCCTGTAATCCCAGCACTTTGGGAGGCCAAGGCAGGCGGATCACCTGAGGTCAGGAGTTCAAGACCAGCCTGGCCAACGTGGTGAAACCCCATCTCTACAAAAATACCAAAAAAAAAAAAAAAAAAAAATTAGCTGGGCATGATGGTGGGTGCCTGTACTACTCCCAGCTACTCAGAGGCTGACGCGGGAGAATCACTTGAACCCGGGAGGTGGAGGTTGCGGTGAGCCACGATTAAGCAACTGTACTCCAGCCTGGGCGACAGAGAGAGACTCCATCTCAAAAAAACAAAAAACAAAAAACAAAACAAAAAAAAAACAAAGCTAAACCTACACTTGCCATACAGCTCAGCAGTCCCATTCCTAGGTAATTAAAGTGAAAAAATGAAAAAGTATATTCACACAAAATCCTGTACATAAATGGTATAACTTCTCTTTTCATAATTACCAAACACTGGAAACAATGCGGCGTGGATAAACACATTGCAGTTTATCCATACGATGGGATACTACTTAGCAATTAAAAACAACAACAAACAACATGGATGAATCTCAAAGGCATCGTGCTGAGTGAAAAGACCATCTCAAAAGATACCGTGCATGATTCCATTTATATGACCTTCCGGAAAAGGTAAAACACTAGTGAGAGAGAACTAGTGATCACCGGGGGGTAGAGGTGGGGGAGTGTGAAGCACTCAAAGCAAAGGGGCACAGGGAGTTTTGGGGGTGACAGGCTCCTCTGTGTCCTGAAGGTGATGGTAGTGTCACTAATCTATACATGTTTACCCAGGGAAAGGAAGTCGACTTGACTGCATGTAAGCTCATATAATAATTATAATTGAGAACAGCAATAATAACAATGGTGAATGGCTATATTCCTACTCGCGAGTCTTTGCTCACACTGTCCCAACCTGAAAGGATCTCCTTCACTCCTGTCAGCCTATCTGTAGCAATCTCAACTAATTACTGGAATCCTGCCTCTCGAAATTCCTCTCCTTTTGAATCTCACTGGCCCAGGTGGCCCGTGACCCGAGGCGTGCTGCAAAGGCTTTGTGAAATAAGCCCCTCTGGAGTCAACCTCCTTGATGCGCTGGGGATGCCATCCTTGCCTCTGCAGAAACACTTCTCACTGCCCTCAGGTGCTCTCCAAGGGCTGCAGCTACCTCGGGTTCTGTTTCCACCAAGATTCTTGGCTGTATGGAGGAAAACCTCCCCCACCTTGCACTAGCTTTAGTAGAAGGCATTTATTGATTGTAGGACTTCACAAAGATCTCACAGAACCTGTGAGAGAAAACTGAGGAGAGTCAGGACTCAGGAATGGAGACCTGACCTCTAGCTCCCAGGCCTGCCCAGCCTCTCCTTTTCCCCATGGGTCTGCTCCAAGCCCTGGCTCTCCCTCACACCTGCTTTCTCCTGCTTGCACATCAGCTTGTACAAGGCCCCCAAGTCTTCCAGCTCCACATCACCTCCGTGCTACACACTAGCAGCAGTCTCTTTAAGTTTTCGATACCAAATCTTGGAGAGAAATATCAATTGGCTCAGCCCAACTTTTTAAATCTGCTACACAATTCTGGGCTTCGACTGGGCATTCACCTCTGGCCCAATTAGCAATTGGATAAAGAACGGGATCAAATGGCCTATGAGCTGCTCCATCGAGGGGCTGTGGCAAGAGCAGGCAATACAATAATTGCCTCTGGAATTAACTCACAGAAATGGCAGGCTACAAACACACAGCTCTCCCTGGGATGCAAAGTCAAGACTACACGTCCAGCTGCAGGAGCAACTGCAGTTTGGGGGCAGCCAGTGAAGCCTCATCTTCAGACCCATTCAGGTGGGCCAGAGCAAGAGAAGGCCCTGGGTGGGTGAGGTCAGGAGGCCTCCTAGAGCCAGACGCTTGCAGGAGTCGACCCAAACTCAGAGTTCACCTTGAGCAAGAGACGGCCACAGCAACACAGAAAAGCTTTGTCGACGGATGTCAGGGCAGGCTAGGGGCGGGTGCAGGGGCGTGTCTGTGAAGGGCACTCAAGGAGGCAAGGAAAGGAACCCACGTCCGAGGGCCACACCTCCTTGCTTTCTAAGTAGCATCAGCCTCCTCCTGCTCCCCACCACCTGGGGACCCTCCCTCCTCACCCAGGGCTTGATTGAGAGGCGGCTGCCTTGTCCCCTCTGCTCTAGGCCTTTCTGAGATTTCATCAGTTCCGCCTGTTCACAGACAAAACAATTCTCCACACTCAGTTTGTGACAGTAAAGCGCTTTTCTCCTTTCTCAGGAAAGAAAATACGTGGTCACACCCTCTTCCTACCTTTGAATATTTATTTTTTCTGTAAAACTGAAATCCCTCGCTTATCCTACCACCCCAAGAGCAGATCTAGCCTGACCTGCCCTCGTGCTGCCTTCAGGTCACTCAGTGGTGACGTGTACCATCCGAAACTGCATTTGCACATTTTCTCTCCAGCTCATGAGCTCTTTAAAGAGAATGTCTTTTCCATCTGTTTCCCTATCACCTTGCACAGTTCTGAGGAAGTGTCTATATTTGAGTTCTTCCAGCAGCCGCTCTGAGTGAGAGCAAGTAGTTCAACTGGGAGAGGATCCCAGGAAACACCTGCAGGGGATCAGGAGTGTGGGAGGGGGAAGGAAAGGCAGCCAGGGGCTGATGCATTTAAAATCCAGCTATGACTTGTGAGCAAATGGAGCTTATGCCCACTGGGAAAGCCCTGGGAGTGCAGGATGCACACTGTAGAGTTGCCCTTCCACAGGGCGAGGGAGCTAGGGTGGTTACTCACCAACACCTGTCAGTCATCAGGGAGGGGTGCTTCTACGTGGCCTTAATACCCTAGGATTGCAGGCCCACCCCGCGGACAGGCGCAATGCGCTGCAGCAGTCAGAGATGGTCCTCAGCAGAGACATGCAGGCACTGGCCATTGGAACTTGGCAGAATTGGAAATGAAGTGATCAGGAGGCGGAGAGAGGGGTGAGGCGGTGCAGTTTAGTAAACACCTACTGAATTATGCTCAATGAACTTCAGAGGTCTTTGGGAATTGACTGTTTTTCTTTTCTATCACTACAAAGGGATACACAAAAGAATGAATGTTATTCTATTTAATTATTCACAATTTTGCTGGAGAATCTTAGGCTGGTTACTTCAGTCTACTATTCCCTCCCAATTGCCTTTCCTTTAAAAAACAAAAAGACACAAATATATCCTCTAATTGGATATCTGTCACAAATTGGACGGTTGATTCTGATTCTGTGGTTGAACAAGTGAGTGGTGTCTCCTTCTTTCCTTCCTCTCCCTCTATAAGCATCTCTCGCAGAGCTGTGAGGTCAATCAGATCAGAAAAATGTCCCCAAAGGGATAGCTCTTCATCAGTCAGGGGCACACCCATAGCAGGGGCTCCGAGTCAGCCCAGAGCAGGGCCCTGGCTCTACCTCCACTCAGTGTATGACAGTGGGCAGACGACATCACTTGTCTCTGCCTCACTTGCGTCATCTATAAAACGGGCATCTACCTCACTTAGTTTTGTGGAGATGAAATTACATAAAGTATGGAAAGCATTCAGTACTACGCTCAATACTTGGAATCTCTCAATTTTCTTTTCTTCCCTAAATTCAGGGTAACACTGTAAGGGAAGGTCAAATGAGGGAGAGCAACTGATTTCAAAGACTGGGATCTTGGGGGATCCCCATACACATAGGAGAGAACTGAAGCACAGAGAGGTCAAGAAAATCATCCCAGATCACACAGCTCAGCTGGGATTAGAACCTGGATTGTCTGGCTACAGAGTCTACATTCATAATCACTATGTTTTACCGATTTGTCTGGGGGGAGGGTGTGAGTTGAATACTAGAAGTGGGAAGGTGATGAAGTAGGTTCTTTGTAAGGAAAGAACTCAGAAATGCATTAACTATGGTCCGAAGCAGAGCAGGCAGGGGTGGGAGTGGAATGGAGGCATGGACAGGAGGGATGTGGCAATGGAGGAGTGTGAGGACTAGGGAAGGCTGAGTGAGGACGGCAGAAGGAAGAAAGGATCAGCGGGGATTTGTATTTGCCAAGCCTGTGGCTGGTTTTTGGCATGTGTAACTTAGGGCCAGAAAGCAAGGTTTGCAGAAAGATGATGACACAAATCTCGAAAATATCCATTGAGTCACCAAATACTTATGAAGCTCCAGCTACATATAAGCTCCACCACCTCCAATTAAGCCTTAAGTATGGCTCAGAAATACCTAAGGAGCTTGCTGTTAAAATCCTAGCACTCAGACCTTACTATAGACAAGTCAGTATCTCTGGAGGTGAAGCTATGGGCATTGGTATTTTTTAAAAACATTCCAGGTGATTTTAATATGCATGCAGGGTTGAGACCCCCGGAATTCATTATCTCATTTAATTCTTACAGCATCCCTGTAAGGTTCTATTATTATTATCTCAGAAAGACTAAGAAACCGCTCAGAAGGAGCAGAGCCAGGGTTTAAACTTTAGTCTATGTGCCCGCAAAATCCATCCTTTCTGCCAGTATGCAAGCTTATAACTTAAAGGAGTCTTAAAGTTTGCCCTGTTCCATCTCCTCTCATTTTGCACAGTAGAAAATCGAGGTCTCAGGATTGGAAGTGAACTGTCAGAGGTCACTCATACCAGTCATGTCAGAGTCCAGACTCCAACCTGCCTCTCCTGGCCCTCAGCCCAGAATTCATTCTTCCCAGCCAGGCTGCATTCTGTTTTAGTCTAGAATATTGATCCAAGAAGTAGCGAGGAAAACCACCCGAGAGTCAGACAGTGCTCCCTCCCTCCCAAGGCTGGAAAGACAGGCACGGTATTTCGGGGAGGTAGTGAGAAAAAGAGTCCCAGCTGGCCACCTCCTCATGTCTACACAATAGCTCCAGCTCAGTGACAGCCAAACCCCTTATTAAGCGGCCTGTGCCATCTCACCTCCTGCCCTTGCTGAACTTACACAGCTCATGTTGTACAGATTAGGGAAAAAAATCCCTTAACCCCGAGGCAGAGCAATAACAACATGGAAGCCAACACGGAAGGCAGTTCGTTGTGTTGGCTTGAAAAATAACGAAGGTGACATTTAGGGCTGCTCTGGCCTCCCTGTCATGGAGTCTCATCATTAATTAAACCGTCTCTGTTACAGACAAACTTCCTAGTCAGTCTTGGAGTGGGGGTGAGGGCTTCCTGTCCTCTGTGGCCCATTAAAGATGTAGGAGTCTTCTTTTATTTCCCTCTGTCCCCCCAGTCACCTGAAATCTAGTCTCTGTCCAATTCCTGGTGCTCACATGACATTTCTTCAGGAGAACATAATTGGCTGTTGTTGACGGGGAAAGGTGGGGAGAAAAGGCAAGAATGGTCCGCTACACATCAACGCTCTGCCTGGCTGATAGATGCTATTTATTGAAAGCCCATGATGGACCACTCACTCATTCATACATTAATTCATTCAACAATTAGTTACAAGTAACTCATTTATGTCAGGCACTGTACTAAGTGCTGAATATGCCATTTGATCCAAACAGGCATGTCCCCTGTCTTCCCGGAGCACAGAGTCTAGTGCTGCCCAACACAGTGGTCACAAGATTCAGGTGGCTTCTTAAATTCAAATTGGTTTAAATTACATATAATTAAAAATTCAGTTTCTCATTTATACTAGCCACATTTCAAATGCTCAATAGCCACATGTGGCTAGTGGCTGCCATATCAGACCGACAGAACAGTCCCATTGTCACAGAAAGTTCTACCAGACAGCACTGGTCTAGTGAGACAGGCAGACACTTTCTATATATTCTTGCCTCTACCCCTCAAAGATCCTTTGGAGATAGGTGTTGTTTCCCCATTTTAGAGAGGTGGAAACAGTGATCAGCTGGTCAATTTGGAGCCAGGATTTGAATCCAGGTTTGTTCTACTCCAAAATCTGTAAGTAACTAAAAGGTACCAGTATCAAAGCTACAGGTAGCAAAGTGGTTAAAAGAATATGTTTTGCAGGCTGGGTACAGTGGCTCATGCCTGTAATCCCAGCATTTTGGGAGGCCAAGGCGGGTGGATCACTTGTGCTTAGGAGTTCGAGACCAGCCTGGCCAACATGGCAAGACCCCTTCTGTACTAAAACTACAAAAATTAGCTGGGCATGGTGGTGCATGCCTGTTATCCCAGCTACTTGAGAGGCTAAGTCAGGAGAATCGCTTGAACCCAGGAGGTGGAGGTTGCAGTGAACTGAGATTGAGCTGAGATTGTGCCACTGTACTCCAGCCTGGGTGACAGACAAAGATTCTGTCTCAAACAAACAAACAAACAAAAAAAAAAAACGGTTTGCAGTCTACTTACCAAAGTCTAAATATTAATGTGGCTCAGGTTTTTTTAACCTCTCTGAGCCTCAGTTTCCTCATTATATAAGGATATTCATATGGTCACTTGATATTAAGGTAGAGATGAGTGGTGAGATAATATATGTGTGCATGATGCCTGGAATGGAGAAAGTCCTTAATGCATGGTAGCTGTTGTTTTGGATAAGAAAGCTGAGTGTAAGATAGGAGAATGAACAATAGCAGCTTAGGACCAGAACAGGATTAGCCCAGAAATCATTTCTTTGGAAAAGTTAAGAAGACAAAAATTAAAACCGCCAAAGAACACAGAGAGTGGGCTCAGGATTTTGAGCATTGCGTTATCTACTGCAATGTTACAAAATCACCAAAACCTAGGATCTTAAAACAATAAACATGAATTATCTCACTGTTTCCGAGGTTCAGAAATTGGGGAACAGCTTAGCTGGGTAGCCCTGGCTCAGGATCTCTTGCAAGGTTGCAAAATAACTGTTGGCTTGGGCTGTGTAATCTGAAAGCTTGACTGGGGCAGGATAATCAACTTGCAAGAGAATTTAGTGATCAGGCTGTTGGCAGGAGGCCTTGGTTTCTCTTGGGCTGTTGGTAATCATCCTGGATCTTTACCACATGGGCGTCTACACAAGGCTCTCCAAGTACTCTTAAGAATGGCAACTGGCCTTTCCAAGGGCAAGAGGCCCAAAGGAGAAAGAAAGAAAAAGAGAGGGAACAAAAATAAGAGTGCAGAGAGAGAAGGAGCATCCAGTCTTTTTATAATGTAATTTCACAAATAACATACTATCATTAATACTTTATTCTATTTATTAGAAACAAGTCACAGGGCCGGGTATGGTGGCTCACACCTATAATCCCAGCACTTTGGGAAGCCAAGGTGGATGGATCACTTGAGGCCAAGGGTTCAAAACCAGCCTGGCCAACATGGCAAAACCCCATCTCTACTAAAAATACAAAAATTAGCCTGGCTTGATGGTGCATGCCTGTAATCCCAGCTACTCAGGAGACTGCGGCATGAGGATCACTTGAATGCAGGATCCAGAGGTAGCAGTGAGCTGAGATCATGCCACTGCACTCCAGCTGGGTGGCAGAGTGTGACTCTGTCTCAAAAAAAGAAAAAGAAGAAAATCACAAAGTCCAGTCCAACCTGGACTAAGAGAGGATTTATACTCCACATCTTGAAAGGAAGAGTACTGAAGAATTTGTGGACATATGTTGAAACCACCATAAACATGAACTGGGCTAAGTGCCCAGAGCTCCCTTTGAGCAGAGAGCATGGATGACTCCACAAGAGTTGAAGCACAAAGTCTAGGCATATATATATACCATTTTACTATCCAGGAGCTCTGGGTCAGACCCAGAGGGTATTAAGATGCCTGATCCTATCAGATGAGGAAAATGGCACCAGTAGGACATATCTGTGGTAGAGATGCACACACGTGGGACTGGGCAGGGAAGGAGGGTGCATTATCTGTATTTCAATAGGATATGACACTCAGTACCCATACAACCTTTCTTCTAATTGGGGTGTTGTGTTTGGAGAGGTGGGGACCAGAAACACTTCTACGGAGAAACATTTCCAAAATTGCATTGTTTTTTATTTCTGGCCAGAACATCTGTCCTGAATTCCTGTCTCCCTTCCTTCACTTGGCATCAGGTTGAATAGTGAGAAGGAGAAGGAAGAAATGAATAGTTACTGAACACTTACTATGTCATTTTATTTATTTCTCATAACTGTCTTATCAGATAGGTGTCACAGGCAGACTATTGGAAAGAGGGTCCCTTCCCACGCATGTGTGTAGCTGTCCGTAGTCCTGAATCTCATTGCTCTCTGACTGGGCTCCACCCAGACAGTGTGTATAATGATTCATGGGAGCTAAGGGGAAAAAACATATTGGCCTTTCAATTTAGATATTTAAATTTAAAATCTATGAAGGTTTACTAAGATGCAATTTACAGATGAAAATGAATGCTCAGTATTTGTCACCTACTGTTTGTCAGAGATCCTGGAGAAAGTGTAAGTGCCCCATGGTGCAGAGGAGCCACCCATGACACTCTCACTCCATGTTTGGCTTTCAACATTTTATGGTTGATTAGGGATGACTTGTGCCCAGTCAAGTAGAGTTACAGATTATATTATTTAAAATACTAGAGCTGAGAAAAGATTATGAAAGCCTTCTGTACCAGATAGAGTTTCACTGGTTATCCCAGTGGGCTGGGTACTTAAAAGAGTCATCAGTGTAAGCAAGCATTTTTCTTCCATTAGTAAATTATTTTAAATTACTATTTATTTTTATCTCATGCTTTTAAAAACCTCCATCTTAAAAATGTCCACTTATGTATGTTTTAGAAATAAAATATTAGTACAGAAGTTAACTGTGTACTGTGTTAATATAGAAATATATATACATTGGTACTAGAAGCTCAAAATTTTTATTGCCAGTAGAGGAATATGATCAAAAAAGAGTGAAGACTACTGTCTTAGAGTCTAGTTCTTTCTTTTAATGTGATTGAAACTTGCTCTCATTCTTTTGGAGCAATTAAAAGTAAGGAAAAGGCAGGGGTAGCTAGAAGGGAAAAAGCAAAGATGGAGACACAGAAGAGATGAAGGCTTTGGCGGGCCAGTGCTACTCAGGGATGGCCCAAGAGAAAGCAAGAGAAAAATCTGTCCAAAGCTGTTTTCACATAATCACATTAACCAAGGACAAAACCACAGTCAACCCCAGCTAACCTACTAAGCAGCTAAAAAAGGGTCAGAAAGGTACATACACATCAAAGGATATGGAGCCAGCAAGTGTGGAGATGAACAATGGTGGTTCTACGAGCACCCCAAAGACTACCGATGAAGGCACTGAACTCTCTCTGAGGCTGAATTATTCCCAATGGCTCCTGATTTTTTCTGTTTTTATTTTCTATCCTGATGAGAAATGCGCTGATTTTCACCCTGTCTCAGAACTAATAGAACTTTGAGATGTAGTTCACAATTTATGTAACTGATTTCATATACTTCTGCCAGCTATATCATGTTTCTGACAATTACAAATATTTCTCTCCTCACACCAAGGAATTGTGGGGCATCCACAATCATGCTGCTCTCCCTTGTATGCTACAGTCTGGGTGCTATTCCATCTGACACTGCAGGCAAACAAACTGAGGCTGACAGGGGTGATGTTACTTACCCAAGGACTCAGGGGGGTAATTGGCAGAGACAAGATTGAGATCCACGTCGATCTGAGAAGGTTTCTTTTTTTTTTTTTTTTTTTTTTTTGAGACGGAGTCTCGCTCTGTCGCCCAGGCCGGACTGCGGACTGCAGTGGCGCAGTCTCGGCTCACTGCAAGCTCCGCTTCCCGGGTTCACGCCATTCTCCTGCCTCAGCCTCCCGAGCAGCTGGGACTACAGGCGCCCGCCACCGCGCCCGGCTAATTTTTTGTATTTTTAGTAGAGACGGGGTTTCACCTTGTTAGCCAGGATGGTCTCGATCTCCTGACCTCATGATCCACCCGCCTCGGCCTCCCAAAGAAGGTTTCTTAACTAAATTCTTTTCTGTATTCTAGGTGTTAGTCTGGATACCCTCAATCCCAAGGCATCTCAACCAGTAGCAATTTTTAGCGGTTCAGGGTATCCCCAAGCTGTTCTCAAAACTTCAAGTCTCATTAAAATGGCACAATACAGGTGATTTTTTAATGAGTACAGTGTTTTTATTGGATGAAATCTTTCAAGGGTGGAGTTAATGATGTAAGAAAATCAGATATGTGGTCATCGGTGGTCAGAATATGGGGAGCCATTGCTTTAGATTTTCACCCAGAAGACAAATATCCCGCATTAAATCCCTTTAACTTCAATAGCATACAACTTAGCCAGACTTCTTATTAAGCAGGTAACCTCAGGCTGTTCATTTGACCTTATGTGCTTCAGTTTCCTCCTCTGTAAAATAGGGATGAAGACAGACATACCTCTGAGTGTTATTGTACGGATTGAAAGAACTGAAACATGTACAGAACTTAAAACAGTGCCTGACACATAGTAGGAATTCAGGGACAACTGTCGTTCTTATTGTTATAACCTCAGCTTCCTTGTCTGTAAAATGGGGGTAGTTTATGTACTATTTATCTCATAGGATGATTGTAAGACTCAAATGAAATGGTGAAAAAGTGCTTCATAAGCAATGTCATACTCTGAAGATGAGAAAGTATGCTGCAATTTTCACTCCTATGTCTCACATACGAAACAAGTCTAAGAACAGTGTATTCCAGCCAAGAAATTAAAAGCTTTGTTCCTTTGGAGTCAAGAGTGTGTCCCTGCACAGATCAATGTTGCTGAAGTGAAAAGAGAGAGATTTAATTACGTTGAGCCTTAGTGCCTTCCCCACTGAGAGCAGAGAGCTCCTGGTGAGAGGAGTAGCTGAGTGTGGAGGTGACAGGTCGTCGTATGAGTGCCTGGGGACTCCTAGACATAAGCTCTGTCACCTTCCTAGGGCCAGACAACTTGACAAGGGAAGAGCTGGCTCCAAGGAGAAGGTGTGAACCTGTGTCTTTGAAAGGCCATGATCTGTGATGAAATCTGTTTTGTGTGTGGCACCCTGGGGAGAAGGAGGCTAAGGCTGCCTTCCTGGCCCTTGCATGGCAGTGTGTAAATCTTCATGTTCAAGGCATATGGTGTTTGCATACACTGGTATCCACATCCTAAGGGGTATGAGCACCCACATACTGAGTCTCATATGCATAAGGTCATATGCATGCTTGAGAGTCTGTGTGTACATGTATCTACGGCCTGGGCACATCCTGCATGCATAAATGGGTTTGCATGTGGATGCTGCTTCTGCCTCCATGGGCAAAAATGTGCCTCAATGTCTCTGCACTTGGCCTGGTGGACATTTACAGATGTGGATGGCCATGTGGACCCACCTGTGTGAGTCCATGGCATCACAGATATATGAATTCTGTACATGTCCTTGTCATGTGTTTCAGTAGAGTTTGAGAATCTGAGACAGACTGTGGGGTTGTCCACTGGGACCATCTGTGGAGCTGGGTCTCCAAGATTGTGGGTGAATGCCCCAAAGCTAGGAAGAGATAGGAAGGTTTGCATGAGAGAAGCTGAGCTCACAGCTCCAAGCAAATGGATCTTGCATCCAGCCAGAGGGGTCAAGGAAGACCAGATACTGAACGACAGGAGGTGCAGAGCCTGGGCTGTAAGGAGGACAGTTGAAGAGCAGGGAACGGCACACTGCAGAAATGTGGAAGCAAAGTGCTCTGGCCACCAATCCACAACTGCCAAGCAGGCACAGGCAGAATAGCATTTTTGTTGTTTAATTAGAGATGTTCCGTTAAAGGTATCATACCAGCTATACCATGTGTATGCATGGAAGACATCAATGTGTGTATTGTCATGCATACACTGAGGTCTGTATTTGTACAGGTCCTTCCCAGGGCTTGACATATGCCCAGGGCATGTCAAGGATTTCCACTGTTACTCAGACAGCATTTAGACAGCACTAACTGTGTGCATGATATGTTTGGGAGAGGATGGAATGAAGTGGGATCGTGTCCCCTGTCCTTGAGGTTTTTATATTCTAAATGGGGCCAGAAACAGAGAAATATGCAAGCAGAGAAAAATTATAAAGCAGCATAAATAAGATGGGTAGGAATTCTACTGCCTAGACTTGTGTTTAAGCCTGAACTTGGCCTTGTACTAGCTGTGTGGCCTTGTGAATGTTATTTAACTTCTCTGAGTTCCTTTTCCCTCATCTATCGGATATAGCATCAATATAACACAAAGATATAGCACTAGGTTGCTGTGAGAATTAAAGGAAGTAATATATCAAAGGCACCTAATAAAATATAAAGTACAAAGCAAATACGATGGATGTGGGCTTGCTCAGGCAGGCTTCTTGGAGGAGGAGACGAGAACTGAACAGGGTGATGGGCAAGGCTAACCCTAGCCCAGGAGAGGATGCGACCATTCTAAACTCCATATCAGGCAGCCCTTGCCCTCACACCTCAGCAGTATCCAAACACCAGGCTTCCTCTAATCACTGAATATCGGGGCAGGAGAGGACCTTAGAAACATGAACCTAACCCATCATGTTGCTAAGGCAGAAACAGACTCAGAAGAGCTCATCAAAGCCTTTCCAGAAGTTTGCAGGAGTAGCTGACACAGTGTGAGGCACTGTGCTGGTGCTTCTGCACACATTCTCAGCCTGGGTTATTGGCTGAGTTGCTGTTAACCAATACAGTATCTTTATCAAATAAGAAAAGTACTCTCCTCTGGACAGGTGCAGTCCATCAGAGACTCGCATGACAAGCTGTAAGCAATGTTGTGTGAATGCAAACTAGAACACTGCCTCATTCAGGCAGGTACAGCCCCTGAGCACACCACTGGCCACCAAGCCACAAGGTGGACTGCAGTCCCCCTCTCCTCTCAGGCAAACGCCCTGCATGACCCTAGAGAGTGGCTGACCCTGGGTTTGAGCCTGGCTAGGGCAGGGGTCAGCCAACATGTAGGCACTGATGATGTGGCAGGAAACAGGACATCGTCCTCACCCCCGCAGGAATTCTCAGTTTATTGCAAGAAATGACAACAACAACGACGACAAAATGTGCAACCAATCACTGTAAAAAGTTCTGTGGGAAAAGGAGGCTACAGGCTCAGAGGAGGACCCCAAACCAAGCCTCAGGGTAAGGAGCAGCTTCGTGGAAAGATGGTGAAGGATTTAGGACACAGTGAGGTGTAGGTATATTTGGCACACAGCAGCGGTGGGAGTGCACAGCTTTTACATTTTGATGCAGCCCCATCAAACCAATGCATTGAAATGGCCCCTAAATCAAAAATGGATCCATTAAAATAATAATAGATACCATTTATTGGGCACTTACCATGTGTTTTAATTCATGTACTTCTGTCACAACCTTAGGAGACAGGAACCGTCATTATCCACACTTACCCACGAGGAAACTGGGGGGTTCAGTGCCTTGCCTGCAGTACCCATGGTCAATGGCAGAAATGGGGGCTGCTGTGAAGCTGTGTCCCTCACCACTACCCGATGCCACCTTTTCTCAGGACTGCTTCCCTTGGCAGATCCCAGGGACAGGGGCTGAAGCAGAAGCCAGATGTGCAGGGTTACCAAATCTAGGGGAGTGTGGTGGCCATGGAGAATATTCCTCTCAGATACCCAGCTTCAGGGAGCATGACTGCCCAGCGGTCCCCACAACTGCTTTCCAAAATCTAGCACAAACGCTGTGTCCTGACTGCCCCTGGCCACCCCCAGCCAATGGAGGAGCGGGGCAGGGATAATGAGGAAGGGCCCTTCCTGGAGACGTGGGACTCCTCTCGTGGGCAACCTTGGCTCCAGGACTCCCAGACAGCCTTGCCAAAGTTTCCGTAGGATTGTCTAAAACACTTCCCCCATCCCTCCCTCCCCTCCCTTGCTCCTTCACCGGGAGTCAGGTCTGCATCATGGACTTGTGGCTTTTCCAGCCTCCCCTGGCCTCTACATTTTTTCCCACAGGCATTTCCCCTAACAGATTTCTTGCATGTTTAATCCTGTCTCGGTTTCTGCTTTCTCGGAGGGCCTGAACTAACACAGATGGGGTGGGTAGGTCTGTGTGGAAGCAATGTGGGGGCCCAAGGGAGGTCCCTGAAGCCAAGGACTTGGAGCCTGGAAGGCAGATGAATGGGATACTCGGGAAGAATGCACAAGCAGCTGTCACGGGAAGCCCTGACACTCTGCTCATTCATCTTCAGGCCTCAGAGAGGCTGCCGTTTCTTGAAAGGGACAATCCTCCTTCCCTGCCAAACACCCTCCTGTCTTCCCTCCACCTACCCTCACCTGGTCTCATCTGGAGGTCATTCTTGCAGGAAGCCTTGACATTCTACACGGGTGATGTTTTGCCTCCTTTTACCACCACAGCCCGGTTGAACAGCGCCTGTCCCATAACTGGTCTGTGCAGGGGGAGCTGTGTTTGTGCATCTAAGCCCCCACTAGTTGGGGGACTCCTTGTGGTGGGTGTCAGTCTGAGCCATTCATCACTGTATCCTAGTGCCTGGTGCAGTAGTGCCTGGAATGCAGGTGTTGTTGAATGAATGAATATGTGAATACATGAGTGAGTGGCCTCACAGCAGATCTGCGGCTTGCCTTGTGTGATGCAGATACAGTGCCTGGATGTAGTGCCTCCCAGGGGACAAGTGGGACCAGAGAGTCTGATATGAACCTGACCTTGCTAATGAGCAGGTGGGTGGCTCTGGCCATTCTCAAATTCACTGAGCCTTAGTTTCCTTATCTGTGAAAAGCAGTGATAATGCCGAACTCCCCAAGTTGTGAGGATAACGCCAAACTCTTTGCCTGAAACATGTAACAAAGTGGCTGTCACTGTAACAGGAACTCAAACACATCAGGCCCTGTGGCCTGGACCCCAGCTGCCCCACTGCAGACCTATTGCCCATATGTAGCAGCGCTCAAACAAAAGCAGAACGTCTGCTTTTTTGATTATATTGAAAAAATAATTACTTAGGCTTTGCCGTCTGCACTACCTGCCATCTCTCTCCCCAGTCCCCGTTTTCTCTTCTCCTGATTATTAAAAACATAATAAACATATATTGCTCCCATGCTACTGTCATAGCCACTGGGGATTAAGAAATGAGTAGATGAGAGTCTTCTTTCTTAGAGCTTGTGGTCCAGTGAGGGTTGGGGAGAGAAAGAGAATAGAAACAAACATAAAAATAAATAATTGCTACTCGGTGCAGTAAAAGCCACAATAGATTAAGACTCAACTGCTGGCATGTGACAACATATATCCAAAATTTCCCAAAACATAGCCAATTTCAAATTATTTTATTATTTTTCACTAGAAACAATTTGTTGGGCATGATTTAATATGTTTTAATTTTTTATTATGAAATACTTCAGGCATATAAAAAGCGTAGGTATAATGAACAACTGTGTACCAACCACGCAGCGTAAAATACAAAACCTGTTTGCATTTTTCTTTTTCTCCCCAGTGGTAACCTCTCTCCTGAATTTGGGTTTATCTTTCATTAGTGTGTTTTTGGTTTTTTTGTTTGTTTGTTTGTTTGTTTTGAGATGGAGTCTCTCTCTGTGCTCAGGGTGGAGTGCAATGGCGCGATCTCAGCTCACTGCAACCTCTGCCTCCGGGGTTCAAGTGATTCTTCTGCCTTAGCCTCCCAAGTAGCTGGTACTGCAGGCATGTGCCACCACATTCAGCTGATTTTTGTATTTTTAGTAGAGACGGGATTTCACCATGTTGGCCAGGATGGTCTCAATCTCTTGACCTCATGATCCACCCACCTTGGCCTCCCAAAGTGCTGGGATTACAGGCGCGAGCCACCGCACCCAGCCCTTAGTGTGTTTTTATGCTTTTGTCACATATGTACTCATCTACAAATTATATATGACATTGTTTCACAAGTTTTAAAACTTTGTATAAATGTTACATACTGTATGTATCACTCTGCAACATTTTTGTTTTTGCTCAACATTATCTTTTTGAGATGTATGTATGTTGATGCCTATATCTCTAATTCGTTCATTTTGACTGCCCTATAGTATTCCATTGCATGATGATATCATAGAATTGATCTGTTTCCCAGGTGAGAGACATGTGGGCTGAAAAACAGAGTCACTGTGTCTTTGCATTAGCATTCTTCAGGAAGTAGACACCAAGATGGGATTAGCTGTGCATGAGATGTATTGGAGAAGCTCTGGTGCATGACAAAGGAGAGGATCAGGAGGAGGCAGAGAGAGCCTTCAGACCATGATGTGAGTCTGAAGTGCGAGAAAGGAGAGTGGGAAAGAAGGAGGAGGAAGTAGGAAGAGCTGTGACTACAGTGCAGTTCTAAGAAAGTTTTGGCCAGGTCAACAGGGAGTCCTCATGCAATAGTCATCCATGACACCATCTCATGTGCAGCAGGAACGGCCCAGCTCTAGTGCCCCTGCTATATTCAGTTACCATGGGCCTGAAGGTGTGACAGCTGGAGCATTTGTCAGTCATGCATGCCACAGAGGACTCACTTGAAGAGTGATCTGAGTGGTACCCCTCCATGGCCGCTACACTGTATATGAGCAGAGATGAAGCAGAAACATTCCGCCTGGCTGACCTTCTTTCATTTATTCATCCTCCGTCTTATGAAAAGAAAAGTGAGATGTTAGAGAAGGTTATCACAGGACAGGGTCATTAAAGCTGGGTCCTAAGGGACTGTCTCAAGCATCATTGCTGGCCAGCAGTCACAGCAAACCACTTTCATTTATTTTTGGTATCTATGTTGAGCTCTGCTGCCAGGAATCTGCCATCAGTGATCCAAGAGGCTCCATGGTAAGGCTTTGGAATCACACAGACCTGCATTTTATTCTCATCTCAGCCATTTGGGCATTGCATAACATTGTATAAGTCTTTCACTGATGTAGGTCTCACTTTTGTTATCTGAAAAATGAGGATAACCAGACCTATCTCATGCAGTTGTTATAGGGATTAAAAAACATGATGTAAGCATAGAGTCTGGCACCAACAGTAGGTGCTTTAAAAAAAAAAACATTAGTTCCTTCCCTATCCCACTATGACATTATTAGGGGAAAAGAAATCTTTTCTTAGATGTAGTAATTTTTCTCAAACTGAGTAATGTTAAAAAACTTAGGGCCTTAGTTCTGTAAACTCCAGCTATCTATAGCAATCAGGGTGAATCAGAATGATCTCCACTGAACCTTCTAATTCACACCCATCACTCTTTCTAAAGCAGCAATTTGTGATTAATCTCACTCTAGGGCTAAATCAGTCCCAAGCGCTTACAAGGCACTTGATAAAGAAGCTCTCTGATTTATAGCAAACACCATTATTGAGCGGTGGCAGGGAGAAGCCATTGGGGATTTGTCTTGCTGGAAACTCTCTCTGCCGGAGCCATTTCTTCTATTTTCCTGGGTAAGAGCTCAATTTATTTCAAAATAGATGGATGGAGTTCCTTGGTGAGGTAGGAGGAAGGGAGGACTTAGAGAATTTTTAAAAATAAATAATAATACTTAATATTTTAAATTTGTGAAATTCTTTCAGCTTCCACAGACATCAGGACTTGAGAGAAGGCTAGGCATATAGTAGGCCTTCAATAAACGTTTGTAGAAGTGTACAATCATCTCATTTACTCTTCACAGCAGCCCCAGGAAGTACACTGAGGCCATTCTTCCCATTTGACAAAGAGGGAATTTGAGGTTGGCAGCTACAAAACAGCAAAGCTGGGACTTTCTCTTTATTTATTTATTTATTTATTTATTTATTTATTTATTTATTTTTATTTTTAATTTTATTTATTTATTTATTTTTGAGATGGAGTCTCATTCTGTCACCCAGGTTGGAGTGCAGTGGTGCAGTCTCGGCTCACTGCAACCTCTGCCTCACAGGTTCAAGAGATTCTTGTGCCTCAGCCTCCCAAGCAGGTGGGATTACAGGTGTGCAGCACCGCACCCAGCTAATTTTTGCAGTTTTAGTAGAGATGGGGTTTTGCCATGTTTCCCAGGCTGGTCTTGAACTCCTAACCTCAAGTGATCCGCCTGCCTTGGCCTCCCAAAGTGCTGAAATTATAGGCATGAGCCACCGCACCTAGCCAGAGCTGGGACTTTTCATGCAGATCCAGGCCTGATCCTTATCCTTCACCATGCCATCACCCTCAATGGTCCAGGAGCAGCACTGTCAAACCCATTCCTGGAGCACAGATGTCTGAAGCACTGTCTCATCACCAAACTGGAAACCTGGTTAGCGAAGACTGCAGTTTCTTTTTTGCCTATTGTTTGGGCCCATGCGGTTCTATTCCAGAACACGTTTATGATATATTTGCATCTCGCACGCAGTCCGTCTTCCTGACTCCTGTCTACTTAAAGCCTGGCTCTCCTTCCAGCGACCTTCATGAATAGCTGTCTTATCTTTGCTTGAGCATCTCCTATGACTGAGAGCTCCCTACTCGGCTGCCCAGTGTCAAGAGCTCTTCTTATTTGATTGAGCGAACCTACTGCCCCTGGAATGTAATTCCCCTGGACTGTAGACTTGGATCCAGGCAGAATCGTAGCAGCAAAAGCTTATTAGGCCTTCCCACTTACAAGCTGTGTGACAGAGGGGAAGGGATTTAATTTTTTTAAGTCCTGGTTTTCTCAATTATAAAATGGAACCAATACTATTTTATCAGTAGGAATACTTTTAGGTGCAAGTAAGAGAATACCCAATTAATGGTGGCATAAATAATAAAGACATTTAATATCTCACTTCACAAAAAGTTTTGAGGCAGACAGTGCCAGCATTGTCCTAGCAACCCAGTGCCACTGGAGTTCTGGGGTCCTATGTTGGTATCCCCAGGATTTCCTGGGCCATGATATCTTGACACAACACTTGGAAGGCAGGGATAAAAGACATAGGTAAAAACAAACAAGCAAAACAGACTTTTCTGTGGCCTCTCTCTTCTCAGGGAGGAAAATATTCACTATCCTTGGAAAGTACTTGACTTTGTTCTCTTTCTTTTTCATCAGATCTAGTTACACACCTGTTCCTAGACCTGGCCCTGGCTTAGGTGAACAGCATTACATAATTGACTTAGACATTCATGATGTCTCGGGCAGGGAATACTGCCACCTAAACAAAATGAAGGTTTGCAGAAAAAGAAGAGGAAAAGTGGCTATTGGCTGGTGATATGGTTTGGATCTGTGTCCCCATCCAAATCTCATGTCGAATTGTATGTAATCCCCAATCCCCTTTTTGGAGGTGGGGCCCAGTGAGAGGTGATTGGATCATGGGGCAGGTTCTGATGAGTGGTTTAGCACTATCCCCTCTGTGCTGTTCTCGTGATAGTGAGTGAGTTATCACAAGATCTGGTTGTTTTAAAAGTGTGTAGCACCTCCCCACCCCTCCTGCTCCTGCCATCTGAGGTGCTTTGCTCCCCTTTGCACTTCTGCCATGATTTTAAGTTCCCTGAGGCCTTCCCAGAAGCTGATGCCACCATGCTTCCTGTACAGCCTGCAGAACCATAAGCCAATTAAATCTGTTTTCTTTAGAAATTAGTCTCAGGTATTTATTTTAGCAATTCAAGAACAGACTAATACAGCTGGGCAACAACAGCATTATAGTGAGTGCAAAATTGGATAATATATGCAAAGTGTTTAGTAGAGTTCCCAACACCTTCTGCTTCATAAATGTTAACTATTACTATTGCCTACTATAATGATAAACTTTCATAAAAAGTAACCAGGGTCCCTCTGATCATCTCTTTTCCCACTTAGGACTTCTGTTCACCTTCAATTATGCCCTACCTTGATAGTCATGCTCCTTGGAAGAAAAAGACACCCTAGGTAGGGCTATCTTATTGTCTAATCCCATGGAGTGCTACTCACATGTTACTCTAGGGAATGTACCCTATGGAGGTGTGACTGTTAGCCTCAGTCCTGAATAGGAGTAAAATAGTTCTTCCTCATCTGTCTTCACTATTTCATTTTATCTGAGATGTGGCCTCCCCTTGTCCTTGGTATATTTGGTCCTGATATAACTTTATAGTTTTTATTTTGTTTTATTTTTGTCATTAGCACTTTTCATAAGTCTTGCTTAGAAACAGCCTGAATCAACCTCTTTTCAACATCGTGGGTAAAAGAGGGAGAAGCGGTTCCCTTCAAGTGAGTCAGTGACAAATTGTGGCCCCTGAGCTTGACCATGGGTGCTCTATCTGTTCTTCTTAAGTCAGTGGGGCTGTGGGGAGGGGGCCTCCCCAGCTCTGCTGGGACATTTGAAATAGTTCAAAGAAAGAGACCTCACCAGTAGAGGACAGAAAATCCAAGGTGGGTAATGGCTGGTTATTACTTAAAGCTATCTTGAGTAGAAAACAAAAGACCGATGAAAACCCCTTCTTACACTTGTCTCTTGAAGTTCTCTGCCTTACAAAAGAATCTCTTAAATAAATGGAGTCCTGGAAAGAAGAGATCCTGCTCTCAGGCTTTGGCTCCAAAATTTTCCTTTATAAATCACGTGTGGAAGTAGGTGGAGCATACACCACAAAGCGAGAGGGAAAGAGGAGCAGCCAGCAGTGGCCACTCACCATGTGCCAGGCCCCTAAAGGAATAAACCCACTGCCTTCTCAGGGTGTTCTATGGGCAGGTGTTATAGAAGATTTGTTAAGAGAGGAAGTGGTCCCAGGAAAACAAAGTAATTTAAACGACATTTCCCCGCACCACACTGTATTGTCATGCTTTACAAACCATCCAACCAGCCAGAGCCAACCTCCCAATGCTTAATGCTTCCAAATAGCATTTCATCTGAGACCCAAGAGCTTGCAAGGCCAAGGTAAGTCTTACCTGGGAGGTCTGAGTCAAGTCACTCAGACTCTCTGGGCTCAATTTCCTCATTCATAAATAACATGGGGGCCGGGCGCGGTGGCTCACGCCTGTAATCCCAGCACTTTGGGAGGCCGAGGCGGGTGGATCACGAGGTCAGGAGATCGAGACCATCCTGGCTAACAAGGTGAAACCCCGTCTCTACTAAAAATACAAAAAATTAGCCGGGCGCGGTGGCGGGCGCCTGTAGTCCCAGCTACTCGGGAGGCTGAGGCAGGAGAATGGCGTGAACCCGGGAAGCGGAGCTTGCAGTGAGCCGAGATTGTGCCACTGCACTCCAGCCTGGGCGACAGAGCAAGACTCCGTCTCAAAAAAATAAATAAATAAATAAATAAATAAATAAATAAATAAATAAATAACATGGGACAATTTTATCTGCCTCATAGAATTGTTGAGGGAGTCAAGCAAGCTACTGCATGTATTTCAGAGCCTGGTTTGTAAGAGGTCTCAATAATGAATGCTAGCCATTATTATTGCTCTTGTTACTGCTCTTATTGTTAGGGACTTGATCTTACCAAGCCCTAATGACCCCATCTCCAGAACAGTCTGACCCAAGAACGCTCTGCAGAGAAAGTCTGAGCACCGCCAAGCACACTTCCCAAGACTGGTGTGTCTTCCTAGCCTGCGTTTCCTTCACATTTCAACTCCGACAGATTTCTGTGTTCTGGATGAAGCTGTTGAGCGTTAACTCTGCAATCTGTTCTGGCTGTTCAATAAACTTCTCTTCCCGGACAAGCTGTCACATGCACGTAAATATCACTTTATGCCTGGACTTTGATTTCCGAGTCAAACTTCTACTTCATGGTGGCTATTAGGGTCATTCCCAATCCAGAGCCTAGGAATCACCAATAAAGCATCAAGCATTCCTGTGGAGTGTGGATGAAAAAGATGAGGATGCCAGAGCTCCTGCCCTCAAGGAGCTTTCAGGCCAATAGCCAGCTTGCAGCACAATGGGATAGGTGCAGTAATAGAGCTCTTTACATGGCCACAACATACAGGTGAGGATAAACTGAGCTTTCGAGAGGCTTAGTTACTTGCTGGATCTCACAGCTGGTAAGGAAGGCAGGATGTGAACTCAGATCTTCTGACCTTGAATCCTCAGTGGTTTCCTAAACTATAGGTTTGTGCAAAAGTAATTGCCTTTTAAAATTTGCCATTTAAAAGTAATGAAAAAAAAAAAGCAACTACTTTTGCACCAACCTAATTGTTCCCCTGAGAGAAGGAGTTGGTTCATTGTGATAAGCTCAGGTCAAAGCTGGTGGCCCATGTGACTTTGGGTACCTGTTAGGGTCCAAAAAGTACCCTAACTCCTGTGTTGCCAAGGGTCAACTGTATGTTCCTGAGGCTGCTGGGCCTTTTTCATGAATACCTTTTAGTTAGCTGATTGGCTCATTGCAAAGGGAGCTGGTGTTGAGCGATGAGATCATGGAAAGTTTCAGGGACTATGGAGCAGGAGAAATGCTCTAGGCATTCAAACAAAGCAAAGATCCCAAATAATTGTTTCCCTCGTTGCCCTGCCAATTGTTCTCACTTCTTGTGTGTGAAGGGAAGCATATTAAAGACAGTGAAAGCCTTTGAGTCTCACAGACCTAGCTAAACTCCTGGATTACTGTGTGACCTCGGTAAAGTTACACAGTCCTGTGAACCCTCATTTTCTTATCTGTAAATTAGGAGAATAAAACATGCCTCACGGGGTTGCTGTGAAGATTAAAAGGAGAGGAAGGTTGTAGAATCTTGCCTTAATAGGGCTCAACAAATACTAATTCCCATTTTCCCAGCCCATCATCTGGCGAATGGATTGGTGATTCCAGGAAAAGACTGGCCTTATTTCTCCAGATTTAAACATTAGAATGTAGAAATTGATGGAAATCAGGAGCACTCTCCAGACAAGAGCCGTAATGGATTAATAGAATTAGATTAATTATTAGTAGTAGTAGTATTGAAACTGAGTCTTGCTCTGTCACTCAGGCTGGAGTGCAGTGGCACGATCTCGGCTCACTGTAACCTCTGCCTCCTGGGCTCAAGCGATACTCCTGTCTCAGCCTCCCGAGTAACTGGAATTACAGGCACCTGCCACCACAACCACATCTGGCTAATTTTTGTATTTTTAGTAGAGACAAGGTTTCACCATGTTGGCCAGGCTGGTCTGAAACTCCTGACCTCAAGTGATCTACCTGCCTCAGCCTCCCAAAGTGTTGGGATTACAGGAATGAGCCACTGTGCCTGGCTGAATTAGGTTAATTAAACACACACACACACACACACACACACACGAATCAGACTAAAACAAAACGTGCCACAAATAAAAGTTTCCTTTCTTCTCACACTCAGGTAGGAAGACATCATCATCACTTCTGAGCTGTAGCAGATCAGAGCCAAACTTTTGGAAGTGACCTCTCTTAACTAATAATCTCACAGCCCAGATGAAGACATGTTAGAATATATTAACAAGAATCAGCACAATGCAGCACTTGGGATGTTCAGTAAAGCATATACACGTTACTATATTTAAACCCATAATAATTCTGGGAATTGGGCAGGGCAAATATTACTATCCTATTTTCCCAAATAAATAAATGAGACTAGTGATGTTGCCCTTAATACTTTCAAGGCTACCATAACATCAGAAAGGAATAATTTGGAAAAAACTAAACTCAATATTTCTGTGCAAAAGCAATAGTTACTTAAAAAAATACAACCTTAAGTATAGAATAACAGAATCCTTAAGTAGAACATCCACCATTTCTAACCTATGAAAATATGATTATACTTTAATATATTGGTCAAAATTAACAAGTTAACTTTAATATTCTGAAGGAAGAAAAAAACAAATCTGATTTTAGACCAATGCTGCCCAGGACAAGGTCCCGGGCCTCTTGTGGTCTATGAAGATGGTATTAGGAACCTGTCAGCTATGTTTAATATTTCAAAGAGCTTAACTAAAAATTTTATATTTTCTCTCACATAATTAGGTACTCAAACTAATTAAAATAATTTTTTTTTTCTTTTGGCTGGAACTTTGATAACACCAGAGATCACGTGATGATCAAAGGCCCTGCTTGGTCTTTGATGATATCAGAGACATCCTAAGACCTGGAAACAGAGCTGCACTGTGACTTATGCCCCATGCTCTGCAGTCTCCTAAACAGCTAGTGTGGTGAGAACACCTGGGCATGAGTCTAGACACACCAACCCTTCAAGACAGAACTTAGTGGTGTAAAACCCCTTGCACGCAGAGCCAGTTAATGTAAAAGGAGGTCTGGGTGATTCAGAGGCTGGGAGCGAGCCACTGGCCTAACTTTTCTGATGGAAGTTAGGGGGCAAAGTGTAGATGGGTAGAACACTGACAGAGTTTTCTTCCCAGTAATGAAGTGGGAGATTTATCTCATCTCACTACAGATTAAAGAATTCTCTAGGCTCTCACAAAAACATGTTATGAGGTGATTAACAGAAATTTCATCCCTCACATGTATACATACGCTTAAAATGGATATTTTTACCATCTGTCATAGACTATTAAAATGGGTGCTTTTAAATCAGGGAAAAGGTGTTGGCCCTGCTGTTCACAAGTGAAGGGTGAAGGGAAATGGACATTTTTCATCCTCACTTCCTATATGAGATTTGTTCACGTAAGTGGCAGTACATGGAGGAAGAGGACGGACTTTGGAGTCAGAAGATGGGAGGGTTTGAACCAGTTCTGTCATTGAGAGTTGAGTACTGCTGGACACACATTGACTAATATTTTTGAGCTTCGGTCTCCAGGTAAGTGGAGGTAACAGCTCCCTTTCCAAAGACTGCAGTATTGCCAAAAGAACACTGGATTACAAATCAGTGAATTCTTTAGTTCCAATCCCAGTTCAGCCATTTACTTGAATGCATACTTGGACCACTTGCCTAATTCTCCAAGCTTTAGTTTTCTCCCCTACGAGTAAATGATGCCATTTGTCCTTCCAATCTCATAGGCTGGTTTTGAGGATATAATTCAGTACAAAACAAGACAAAACAAAACAAAAAAACCTTGTAAACGCTAAAGCAAATATGCTAATGAAAATTTGCTATCATATCAATATAAAATTTAAGCTACTTTTTTATCAGATTAAATGTCATTTCAGATAAAATTGTCAAGGAATCATCTTGTTTATTTGCCTGCTGAAAGGATAAACATTAGGTTTTAATTCTAGTTCTGCCACTTACTTCGTAAGCCCCGTGGTTGCATCTCTCCTAACACGCAGTAGCCATTCTGTTTGGGTGGTGTTGACTCATACCCATCATCAGCTTGAATGTTGGATCCTGATAGGTCCAAGCCAATCAAGATAATGCCATCCCCTGCCATGGTGATTGCTTCAAGGGTGCAGTTAGAGTGTTAAAGGCTTTGTTTCAATAGTTGTGGTGTGAGTCAGTCACACATCCAGCTGGATGTGAAAGCATGCAACCCTGGGAGCTACTGGCAACCATCTGGATATCACCAGGGAACAGGTGAGAAAGACTGCAAAGAAAAAAGAGCCCTTGCTCTGATAATATCATGATCCCCTGGATTAAACTGTGCCTGAAGCAGCACACTGCTGGGCTTTTCTGTCAGTTTGAGGCAACGAATTTTCTTGGTTGGGTTTGTGTTGGTTCCTCTGTTCTTACAAGTAAAAAAACCTTAAGAAATACACCATGTACCCTTGAGTAACTTCCATTACCCCTCTAAACTTCAGTTCCGTGATCTATAATAGGGCATAGTAGAATAGAATGCCTACCATAAATAGGGTCACTGTGGGGTTCAACAGTGCTTGAAAAATGCTTAGCACCACACATAAATGATATGGTTTGACTCTGTGTCCCCACCCAAATCTCATTTCAAATTGTAATCCCCATGTGACAAGAAAGGTAAGTGATTGAATCATGGGGGCAGTTTCCTCCATGCTGTTCTCCTGATAGTGAGTGACTTCTCACCATATCTGATGGTTTTATGGGGCAGTTTTCCCTGCTCTTACTCACTCTCTCTTGCCTGCCACCACGTGAGACATGCCTCTTACCCTTCCGCCATGATTGTGAGATTCCTGAAGCCTCCCCAGCCATGTAGAACTGTGAGTCAATTAAATCCCTTTTCTTTATAAATTACCTAGTCTCGGGTATGTCTTTATAGCAGTGTGAAAATGGACTAATAGTACAAAGTATGCATTCAGTATATGGTAACAATTTTTATTACATTTGCAGCTCTAGACTTTGTGTTAAATGCTTTAAGTATATCATTTCACTTGGTCATTGGTCAACCTAGGAGGATTTTTTTTGTCCCCATTTTACAATTAAGAAATGAGGGTTAGAGAGTTTGCATGACTTGTCCAGGGTTCCACAACTACAGAAGCAGATTTTACAGAGTATGATTGTTTCTCCTTTTTTTCAATCCTTTGAACAGATAATTATTGTACAGTGTCAATGTTAATTGAATGCCTATAATGTGCAAAGCATTATAAGTATATAGCAGTAAATATACACACTGTCCTTTAGTTTTAGAGGATAGTCTCACCCTATCTGAATTATAGAAAAGATCGGGTTGAGTTTGTGCCTTGGATTTATTAGCATCATGCTCCTAACAACTAAGTTAACCAGCCTATCATCTAAATCCTATAGGCACATGAAAAGTATTGACAGGAACAAAGTAGTTCTGCAACTAAGTGTAGAACATACAGCTTATTTCCATATAAAATTTAAAGTATATATATACATCTTGTATTTCAACTGCTATTTAATTTCTTCTAAAGCATTGAGCTGAACTGTAACATTTCTTTTACATTTAATTCCACTGGTTAAAAAAAATCTTTTTCATATACTATAAAGATATTATCTCTGCTCTTTCTGACATGGTGTCAACTTATATATGTTTCTAGCAAGTATGAACAACACAATTAGAAGTGACAATGGGAATGGAAGAAAAAGTAGGCCGTTGCTACATTATTTTCCTAGGAAATCTGCAGGAAAATCTAATGCTGTGTTTTACTGTTTACCTTTAGGTGACATTCTCCAAGTGTCTTTATATGTTATGGAGTGCCTTTTACAATACTCCAATCACAAGGAGTGTAAAAAATGATTATATGGAGAATAGTTAATATGAACCTCTTCATGACCAATGTTGTCTCGTGTGCAGATCAGGAAATTCCTTACAAGTAATGTATAATAATCCCTGAGAAACATAAACAGCCTCTGAACTTATCTTCTTAACAACTAGATATTTTGTCCAAGAAGATTTAATAATGTCAGGACACATCCCAAATGAGATTTCACAGGCTTTCACAGGCAGGGGGAGAGGTTCTACTCTCCTACACTGCCTCATCTATGCTTTTCATGTCAATTTTGATAGAAGGGTCTGAGAGAAGAACCTATAAAATCAACCTACAGAAAACACAAGTGGTCCCTGATTTCATAATGATGAGATTTTTACTTATATTGAAGCCATATGTGGGGAAGCTAATGAACAACTGAGAATACTTTGTTCCTTGTCTTGATAGCTTAGTCTTAGATATCTGAGAGTTGTAAAAAAATGGACAGATTTGTAGTCAGATAGACTCAGCTTTGTTCTATCTAGGTGAGAGATATTGGATATATTATGTAACTTCTCGAAGCCTATTTGTCATTGTAAAGTGAGAATAATAAAACCTAGTAGGGTTATGGAATAAAGATAAATATAGGGCCCAGTTCATAGTAGATTCACAATACAAAGTAGTCCCTTTCCTCTTTAATTCTCTAAGAAAATATTTATTTAATATAATGTATTTCAAGAAAAATGCCCTTCTTAGAAATATAACCTAAGCATCACTAGACTTCACTAGTTTGGGAATACAAATATTAAATAACTCGTATTTCCACATTTATATAATGCAGCAATTTCTGGGCACCACTGGGGGTATGTCTTGTGCTGCTTCTCTTGTCGTTTTCCTCCAGTCGTCTTGTTGATATCTGCTGCTCAGGAAGGTCAACTTGGGGACAGTGCCTTGCCTCAGCCTCTTTTGAGGGACAGTGCCTTGCCTTTGCCTCTTTTTCTTCTCTGGGAACCCGAGATTCCCAAATGGTAATCTCATGGAGCAACCAAATGACATAAACTTCTGTTAAGATTTCAGTGCACCAGGAACACGCTGTATCTCTGTGGAAATGCCCTCTCCCCCAATTCTGTTTCTTGCTTTGTCATCTGAACCACAAACTGTACTTCTTTTGCCTCCCTATGAAAATGGCTTCTGCCAGTAGCATTTTCTCCAGTCATCCACAGGTGAAGACAAGGAAATTCTCTATCCTGAGGCCCCCTTTTCCACATAATCCCACCCCAATGCAAACTATTTCCTGCAAACAGATACCTTCAGACTGTTTCCCCCTTCATCATAACGACCCAGACTTAGAAATCCAGTTTAGGCTCAGTTGAAACATTCTCTACTATAAAAACTACCGTATGGGCTCATTTCTCATCCACTAGGGGTCTGCCTTCTAAATCAAAAGCAAGTAGAAGACAGAGTAAAATGTGTAATATAAATTTATTCTGTGACATTTTCCTCATTGAAGATATTTTAACATAGATTAAAATACATCAATATTTCATGAAAAATAAATTCTAGAAGAATTTAGATAATATCTGTAATGTACATGATTTGACCCTGAATATCCTTTTTTTTTTCACTTCAAACATCATTTTTTAAAAAGTAACATAAAATGATAAGGACTGCAACATTCTTCATATATCTTGTGTCTCATAAATTTTAATTCAACTGCCCGTTCTTTTCTCAACTATGTATGTTAATGGTATTTGCTCCTGTTTTTGAATAGGAAGAGTATCCATTTTCTGTTTCTTCGTGATATTTAGGTCTTCTTTCTCTGATTCTTCAAGAAAATGCTTCGTGCTGAGTTTGAATAGTAATCGAGGGTCTGGATTAGACAGTGGTGGACAATTACACATCTCTCTAATTTTGAGAGCCTATAAAGAAATAATAAAATAAAAAAATACTATATATATACATCAATGTATTCAGATTGTTTCAGTAATCCCTAATATGCTCCATGTAAAACAAAGAATGTATTGTTATTTTTTTAATAAAAGGTATCTTGATTATAACACATAAAAGAGAACCACTGAAAAATCTACAGTGAACAGTTGTTTTCATGATTTGGTCAAATAGTATTATTTTAAAAACAACAACAATAGTATTAATAATCTGTAACAACTGCCCTAATGCTGTTTTGAGGGTAAACAAATCTTAGAGATACATCTATGGTTTCAGTTAAACTCTAGCAGACCGGAGAATCATTCAGATTTAAAAAGGCTCTATGAGAGATTTTTTTCAAGAAAAACTGCAGAACATAGATGACTGAATATACTGAAAAAAGATATACATAACTGATACAGTCTTGGGTAAAATTGATGATAATAACCTAGTGATATGGTTTGCATATGTCTCCACCCAAATCTCATCTTGAATTGCAGTTCCCATAATTCCCACATGTCATGGGAGGTAACTGAATCATGGAGGTGGGTGTTTCCCGTGCTGTTCTCATGATAGTGATTAAGTCTCACGAGATCTGATGGTTTTATAAAGGGCAGTTCCCCCTGCATATGCTCTCTTGACTGCCGCCATGTAAGACATGACTTTTCTCCTCATTCGCCTTCCACCATGATTGTGAGGCCATCCTCAGCCATATGGAACTGTAAGTCAATTAAACCTCTTTCCTTCATAAATTACCTAGTCTCAGGTATGTTTCATTAGCAGCATGAGAATGGACTAATATACTTAGAAAAGTAAACAAATCAAAATCATGACAATTTTTAACTCCAGGAGAAATAAAACATTGCAAAGGAAGGAAAAGTAATCACAGTGTACTATGGGGCTCAGCTATGACTAGTGCTTACAGTTTAAAATACCAAATCTTGATGAAACCAAAAAGTACAATTTCATCATACTGAGAAGGGGAGAGCTGCATGTGTGTGCACATGCACAGGGTGTGACACTGGAAAGAGAGGGCTTACGTCTCATCCTGTAAGGTGGAAAATAATTAAGGCCCAAAATTGAAGTTAGAATGTAGCAACATAAGCATGTTATTTAGACACAATGGGAAATACTAAAAGAATCGTCCAATAGAATTGGAAATAGTTACCCCTGAAACTGATGGCAGGGTTGAGGGACTGGCTGCTGATTTAAGTAACTAGCCTTAGAACTATTTAACTCTTCAAAGTGGGTATATGGATAATTTTAAGATATAAGAGCCAAAATAATTTTTAAGGATAAATGGTCTTAATATTTAGGAGTTTTAAAAGAAAGACATTTAGGGGAAAAAGCTAATTCAGTTTTTTACGACTTCTGGCTTTCTGATACTGATGTGTCTTAAGGGAAGTAAATAAGGCAGTAAAGGAGACAGTGTTTGAGGGACTGGTAAAATCTTAGAAAGACTATCCAGGCAAGGCCTCACTGATAGGATAATGACTTTGGGGGTCAAGAGGGGGACAGACCTGAAGGACATGAGGAAAGAGACCATGTGGCAACCTAGGGAAAAATCATTCCAAGAGGGAGCTGCGAGTACAAGGGAGATGGGAGCGTGCCTGGGGTGTTTTGGAACAGTGAAGAAGCAGGTACAGCCGAGTGGAGCAGGGTGGAGGGCAGGAGCAGATTATGTAGGACCTCACAGGTCATGCTAAGGATTTTAAGTTTTACTCTAAACAGCCTGCCTCTAATATTTGTGGGGTCCATGGAAAGAATGAAAATGGAGGCCCAGATACCATGTCTCTAAACACCTAAAAGCAGTAAGTCAAGCTAATACACTACTACTTAAAATCTGTTCTATTCTCCTACTTTGAAGAATACACATTCGAAATTACCTGGAAGTCCAGGTACAAAACTAGAATTCTTGAATTTCAGAACATGTAAGATTGCAGGGAGCTTACTGTGTAGCTCTTGCCACTAGCCTGCCATCTGCCCCCTCTCCCAGCCCTAGCTTATCTGGCACTGTAAAGGGCCTTGTGTGAATGTGTTCAAGGAAGAGGTCCAGATGGGCCCTGAAAGCAGGCTCAAACATATCTGGGCAAGGAATTCCATTATTCCAGATACCCTGAGTGGGGTATGGTAGGGGCACAGGTTCTTGTATGCTAACATTTCATTGAGTCCCACAGGAGAGAGGGACTTGTAGTCAGATGCGAGCCAGATAGACGTTCTCTAAGTGAATGGGGTCAGGGCAGAAGCTTGGGTCTAGGAGCACTTCTAGCTCTGATTAGGCTCTGAGTTACCAAGGTAAGCTGGAGAGTTGAAAAAACATTACTTAACGTGAAATTCTTCAGTGGCAGTGGTCTTGTCTTATTTTTCTTTGTATTTCACAGCAGATTTAAGATTTCCTTATATCTAGTGAGTGTTAAGTAAATGTTTAAGTAAACTGAATTGACACAACAAGAAAATGTTTCCCAACTATAGCACTTACAGCACTTAAGTAAACAGAAAGTCAGATCCTCAGCTAAACGGTGACCTACTGTCCAAACTGGGATACCTTTGAGAATGAAATGAGATGCTAGCAAGATTTGCACTGAGACATCAGGCATGAGCCATGACTGTCTCTGCAAAATTGGGACGTACGGTCACTCTTGCATTAGTTCCTTTACAATGATGTTAATTTTCTTTCCCAAGTGAGAAGTTTACCTGTCATGGCTGCTATATCAGTGTAGTGCCTATGTTTAAGCACTGCACTGGCATCAGTAAAGGGGGAGAGTATGGAGTCCAGCAGGTAACAACTGGCACAGCTGAGTGTGGCAATGAGAGATGCAAAGCAACAAAGAGAGGAATAGGATGCCATCCCCTAAGATCTTTGTGTATTCAGTAAAAACTCTTCTCTTATCCTTAAATTCGCTTATTCAGTCTTTTTAATACAACAAATATTTAGAACACCACAGTGAGTAAGGTGCTAGGTACACATTGGTCAGAATAGTCATGGTCCCTGCCCTCATGTAATTTACTTTGTATTTCTCCGTTACTGGGCATTAGAATTGTTCCCACAGTTGTGTCTATTTGGCTTTTATAAATTACCCTGCTATAAAAACTTTTCTTTAAAAAAATCTTTTCTCACCTCCATTTGGAGATATGTGAAGTCTAACACCCAAAATAGAATGATCTGATCAAAGAGTAAGCACAGGTAGATTATACTTTTTGTTATATAGGACCAAACTGCTTTCTACCAGAAAGGCTTTATCAACCTTTAATGTCACCAGTAATACAGGCATACTTGAGTTATTCACAGTTATTCACATAACATTTCATGACTTTTATATAGATAATTACATAATTTCAAACCTCAGAATCCTTAGAAAATATCAGCTCAATTTTACAGATGAGGAAACTGAGTCTCAGAGAAGTTAAATGCCGGGCAAGGAACAAAAAGCTGGCTTGGTAAATGTTTTTAACAGCTTTATTTGCTAAAACTTGGAAATAACCAAGATTTCCTTCGATAGGTGAATGGATAAACTGTGGGATATCCAGACAAAAGAATATTATTCAGATCTAAGAAGAAATTAGCTATCAAGCCATGAAAAGATATGAGGAACCTTAAACGTATATTGCTAAGAGAAAAAAGCCAATCTGAAAAGGCTACATGATTCCAACTATATGATATTCTGGAAAAGGCACAACTATGGAGACAGTAAAAAGATCAGTGGTTGCCAGGGGCTAGGGGGAGGGAGGAATGAGTAGGCACAGAGTGTATTTTTATGGCAGTGAAACTACTCTGCATGATGCTATAATGGTGGATACATGTCATTATACATTTGTCAAAATGCACTGAATGTACAGCACCAAGAGTAAACCCTAATGGACTTTGGGTGATAATGATGGGTCAACATAGGTTCATCAATTGTAACTAATATTATCACTCTGGCATGGGATTTTGATGGTATGGGAGGCTGTGAGTATGCGGGGACAGATGTATAAGGGAAATCTCTATACCTTCTACTCAATTAAAAGTTGAAGCTTTAGAGTCTAAAAATAAAAGAGTCTACTACTAAAAAAAAAAAAAAAAAAAAAAAAAAAAGCTGGCCTGGAAGTAAAAAAGCTGGGTTTAGAACCTGTTTTGTTTCTACCGCTTTTGCTCTACATGCTTTTTGTGCTCATGCTTTTTTGTATCACATGATATTTCTTGAGTAAATTTTTTACTGAATAAATGTACTTTGGAGATGTCTGAGCTAGGTTTCTTTAATTGCTAGAAACACTATATGTTCTTCATACAGGTTTTCTATCACTACTTCTTCATGTGTGAACTGTTTCTCCTCCCCAAATATCTATCAAGCAGAATCCTGTTATGACCATACATATTTCTATCAAATCTTCATCTACTTTGCATAGTAAGATTCTATTGGATGTCTTGGTAACTTATTTTTTCTTTTTTCCTTTCCTTTCCATATTCATTTTATATATTTCAGGGCGCCAATGTCTTTTTATTTTTATAAATTCTAATCTATCTTATTAAATATATCTTCATCTCTTCAAAAGTGAGCAAAATTTTCCTACCATATAGCTAGAATATGTCTTTCCACTTCCTTTACTTTGTTTTCTGTGTTTAACTCCACGCACTGCACATAACAGGCACTTAACAAACGCATGCTAAATTTTAAACAAACATTTATAGAACACCAGCTATGAATAAATCATTATGATAAATGTCATAGAGAAAATACTCTTAGGAGTTTATGGTTTAAGAAAAAGCAGGAATGTATTTTAATAGCAAGAATATATGGTTCTGAGAATCCTGAGGAAGATTTGAAGTTAAATATAGAATTAGCCAGCCTAAAGACTACAACTATGAGTGAAAGAAACTAACATCTACTGTTCACTTTCTATGTGCCTTTCACTGCGTGAGGTATTTTACACATCTAAATTGACATTGGAATTTGAACCACTTTTGAAATCTTGGGCCTGACATAAAATACTTATCATTAAAATGTCTATGCCAAAGAGAGGGGGACAAGGCAAAGAAGACAGCAGGACCTTACCTACAGAAATGCACAAGTATGTACATCCAACATCTAGGAGATATTGCTATCCTGATTTCACATATGAAGAAAACTAAAGGTTGGATTAGGTAACTTTCTCCAAGTTACATGGCTGAGTCAGAATTAAAACCGAAGACTCCTAAGACCACTGTTATCTTTATATTACTATTTCCTGCGACCATCTTTCTCCCGTTACCAACTATTAATGTCCTACATGCTAAATTTCTATAAGGGAGTGGAAGGACTGTTCAATTCTACTGCCAATTTTTCTATTTTTCACCCACTATTATATTGCTTATCCTGCCTATTATTACACATCATGCAATCATTTAACTAATATTCACTAATCATCTCAACTTCTCATAGGTACTATGGATACAGCAGTGTACAAAGGCCTTACACACTAGGGTAAAAGCCAATAAACAAATAAGGTAATTTTAGTTAAGTACATGAAGAAACTAAAGAGTGAGGTGTGTTGGACGGACAATGAGTACATGGAAGGGAAGCGATTTAAGATTATGGGATCAAAGAAAGCCTCCCCAGGACAGTGACATTTGCCTAAAGAACTGAGGGAAGAATGTTTCAGACAGAGAAATCAGCAAGTAGAAGAGCTGTAAGGAGGACACTAGCTTAATGGGGGACATACCCTGGTCTTGTATGTTTCCTAAACCAAGGAAAGCCTAAGGAAAGGGGCATGTGGTGAAGTTGGAGAGCTAGGCAGTGGCCAAATTACGTGCCTGGAAGACATAGGAAGAGTCTGGATTTTTATTCTAAGTTAGATGAGAAGCCACTAGAGGGTTTTAACCAAGGAAAGGACATTACAATGATCACTCTGGCTACATATTGAAAATAGGTTGTTAGGAGTTGAGGTGAAACGTGACATCGTGAGGTGAAAAGTGACAACAGGAAATGACTGCGGTAACTTGGGAGGAGATGATGGTGACTTTTACTAGGAAAGGAGCAGTGGCGAAGTTGAGAAGCCCACAGATTCTTAATGTACTTGTTAAAGCAGTCAAGATTTTTTCATGAATAGGACACAGAAGTGAAGGAAAGAGGAACTGAAGATGAGTCCTAAATTTCCTCTTCTGTTTTAATAGCTTTTCTTTTATGATGCTGCTCATGCATTTGAGGATAATTAACTTGCTCACAGTAAATAATTACTGTAATATAATATCGTATTGTCAATTAATGACCCCAGTCCATAAATTCTTTTAAAGTTATTGTTTTTATCAAATTGTCAAAACAAAATCATTTATGCTTGTAAAATGAATCAGAAACTTAATAACATACCTTTCTACATTTTGAAGGTAGAACTAATTAGTAACTAGGCAATTGTTCTCTGAACTTCTGAAAAAATTCTCCAAATTAAATCCCATCAGGGCTAGGCGTCCTTTTCTTTGCTAATTTATTATGACTCTATGGGTTCTAATAGTTTTTTAAATTTGATTTATTTATACCTTACTTCTTTCTAAAGTAATTTAGTAATTTGTAATTTGTAAATTAGTAATTTGAGAAGCTTCATTCTAGCTATAATTTCTACTCCTAGCTGCATCCACTCTAGCAATTCCCCTCCCCCCTCAACACACATATACTTTAATTACTTCTGATTTTGACCTGAGCTATTAATTAACATTATCTAACTAAAAATAACATTCTCCCAAATATTTCAGTTTTCTTGCATGTTACCGTACCTCTTCTCCTGATCCTATTTACATTTTACTTTGTCTAACTAATCTAATGATTATGACTTTGACTAAATTTCCCAAAGAATCAACTACTGTCATTTTGCTTATTTCTGCTTAATTTTATTAATTATATTTTCCCTATTTGAGACATTTATAGTTCTATATTTCTTTTCTCTTTTTCTAATATAGACATTTAAACTGATAAAGTTTTCTTTAAATACAGATTTAGTAAAAACTCATGAAAATATAACTACATCATTATAAAGTTCATTGATTACAAGCCATCCTCTTATTGTTTATAGATTTCTCTTTTGCTTTACATGTGCGGAATTTTAATTTTCATGTGGTTATCCATCTTTTAATTTTTGTTATATTAATTTTACTATACTATGTTCTGATGATTGGAACCATAACTTTGTTTTATTTATTTATTTATTATTTCAATAGGTTTTTGGGGAACAGGCAGTGTTCAGTTACGTGAAAAAGTTCTTAAATGGTGACTTCTGAGATTCTGGTACACCCATCACTCAAGCAGTGTACACTGTACCCAATGTGTAGTCTTTTTTTTTGAGACAGAGTTTCACTCTTGTAGCTCACACTGGAGTGCAATGGCGCGATCTCAGATCACTGCAACCTCTGCCTCCCAGGTTCAAGCAATTCTCCTGTGTCAGCCTCCTGAGTAGCTGGGATTACAGGCATGAGCCACCATGTCTCGCTAATTTTTGTATTTTTAGTAGAGACAGGGTTTCTCCATGTTGGTCAGGCTGGTCTTGAACTCCCGACCTCAGGTATCTCCTGCCTCGGCCTCCAAAAGTGCTGGGATTACAGGCGTGAGCCACCACGCCCAGCCCCAGTGTGTAGTCTTTTACCCTCACCCACTTCTCACTGTTTCCCCTGAGCCCCCAAAGTCCACTGTATACGTCTTATGCCTTTGCATCCTCATAGCTTAGCTCCCACTTATCAGTGAGAACATAACATTTTTATATTATGTACAGATATTTTTGTCCAAGTTTTATGATCAATATTTTCATGAAAGATGTGTACTTGAAAATATATTCCTGCTGGAGCCAAGATGGCCAAATAGGAACAGCTCCAGTCTACAGCTCCCAGCGTCAGCGACGCAGAAGACGAACGATTTCTCCATTTCCAACTGAGGTACTGGGTGCATCTCACTGGGGATTGTTGGCCAGTGGGTGCAGGACAGTCGGTGCAGCGCACCGAGCGTGAGCCGAAGTAGGGCAAGGCATCGTGTCACCCGGGAAGTGCAACGGGTCAGGGAATTCCCTTTCCTAGCCAAGGAAAGGGGTAACAGACGGCACCTGGAAAATTGGGTCACTCCCACCCTAATACTGCAATTTTCCGACGGTCTTAGCAAACGGCACACCAGGAGATTATATCCCACGCCTGGCTCAAAGGGTCCTACGCCCACAGAGCCTCGCTCATTACTAGCACAGCAGTCTGAGATCAAACTGCAAGGTGGCAGCGAGGCTGGGGGAGGGGTGCCTGCCATTGCCGAGGCTTGAGTAGGTAAACAAAGCAGCTGGGAAGCTCGAACTGGGTGGAGCCCACTGCAGCTCAAGGAGGCCTGCCTGCCTGTGTAGACTCCACCTCTGGGGGCAGGGCATAGCCAAACAAAAGGCAGCAGAAACCTCTGCAGACTTAAATGTCCCTGTCTGACAGCTTAGAAGAGAGTAGTGGTTCTCCCAGCATGCAGCTTGAGATCTGAGAACAGACAGACTGCCTCCTCAAGTGGGTCCCTGACCCCTGAGTAGCCTAACTGGGAGGCACCCCCCAGTAGGGGCAGACTGACACCTCACAGGGCCGGGTACTCCTCTGAGACAAAACTTCCAGAGGAATGATGAGGCAGCAACATTGGCTGTTCACCAATATCCGCTGTTCTGCAGCCTCCGCTGCTGATATCCAGGCAAACAGGGTCTGGAGTGGTCCTCCAGCAAACTCCAACAGACCTGCAGCTGAGGGTCCTGACTGTTAGAAGGAAAACTAACAAACAGAAAGGACATCCACACCAAAACCCCATCTGTACGTCACCATCATCAAAGACCAAAGGTAGATAAAACCATAAAGATGGGGAAAAAACAGAGCAGAAAAACTGAAAATTCTAAAAATCAGAGTGCCTCTCCTCCTCCAAAGGAACACAGCTCGTCACCAGCAACAGAACAAAGCTGGACGCAGAATGACTTTGACGAGTTGAGAGAAGAATGCTTCAGACGATCAAACTACTCTGAGCTAAAGGAGGAAGTTCGAACCCATGGCAAAGAAGTTAAAAATCTTGAAAAAAGATTAGACGAATGACTAACTAGAATAACCAATGCAGAGAAGTCCTTAAAGGACCTGATGGAGCTGAAAACCATGGCACAAGAACTACGTGACGAATGCACAAGCCTCAGTAGCCGATTCGATCAACTGGAAGAAAAGGTATCAGTGATGGAAGATGAAATTAATGAAATGAAGCAAGAAGAGAAGGTTAGAGAAAAAAGAATAAAAAGAAATGAACAAAGCCTCCAAGAAATATGGGACTATGTGAAAAGACCAAATCTACATCTGATTGGTGTACCTGAAAGTGACAGGGAGAATGGAACCAAGTTGGAAAACACTCTGCAGGATATTATCCAAGAGAACTTCCCCAATCTAGCAAGGCAGGCCAACATTCAAATTCAGGAAATACAGAGAATGCCACAAAGATACTCCTCGAGAAGAGCAACTCCAAGACACATAATTGTCAGATTCACCAAAGTTGAAATGAAGGAAAAAATGTTAAGGGCAGCTAGAGAGAAAGGTCGGGTTACCCACAAAGGGAAGCCCATCAGACTAACAGCGGATCTCTCAGCAGAAACTCTACAAGCCAGAAGAGAGTGGGGGCCAATAGTCAACATTCTTTTTTTTTTTTTTTTTTTTTTTTTTTTTTGAGACGGACTCTCGCTCTCGCCCAGGCTGGAGTGCAGTGGCGCGATCTCGGCTCACAGCAAGCTCTGCCTCCTGGGTTCACACCATTCTCCTGCCTCAGCCTTCCGAGTAGCTGGGACTACAGGCACCCGCTACCAAGCCCGGCTAAATTTTTTTGTATTTTTAGTAGAGACGGGGTTTCACCATGTTAGCCAGGATGGTCTCAATCTCCTGACCTCGTGATCCACCCACCACAGCCTCCCAAAGTGCTGAGATTACAGGCGTGAACCACTGCACCCGGCCCTTCAACATACTTAAAGAAAAGAATTTTCAACCCAGAATTTCATATCCAGCCAAACTAAGCTTCATAAGTGAAGGAGAAATAAAATACTTTACAGACAAGCAAATGCTCAGAGATTTTGTCACCACCAGGCCTGCCCTACAAGAGCTCCTGAAGGAAGCACTAAACATGGAAAGGAACAACCGGTACCAGCCGCAGCAAAAACATGCCAAATTGTAAAGACCATCAAGGCTAGGAAGAAACTGCATCAACTCACGAGCAAAATAACCAGCTAACATCATAATGACAGGATCAAATTCACACATAACAATATTAACCTTAAATGTAAATGGGCTAAATGTTCCAATCAAAAGACACAGACTGGCAAATTGGATAAAGAGTCAAGACCCATCAGTGTGCTGTATTCAGGAAACCCATCTCACGTGCAGAGACACACATAGGTTCAAAATAAAAGGATGGAGGAAGATCTACCAAGCAAATGGAAAACAAAAAAAGGCAGGGGTTGCAATCCTAGTCTCTGATAAAACAGACTTTAAACCAACAAAGATCAAAAGAGACAAAGAAGGCCACTACATAATGGTAAAGGGATCCATTCAACAAGAAGAGCTAACTATCCTAAATATATATGCACCCAATACAGGAGCACCCAGATTCATAAAGCAAGTCCTTAGAGACCTACAAAGTGACTTAGACTCCCACACAATAATAATGGGAGACTTTAACACCCCACTGTTAACATTAGACAGATCAATGAGACAAAAAGTTAACAAGGATATCCAGGAATTGAACTCAGCTCTGCACCAAGTGGACCTAATAGACATCTACAGAACTCTCCACCCCAAATCAACAGAATATACATTCTTTTCAGCACCACACCACACCTATTCCAAAATTGACCACATAGTTGGAAGTAAAGCACTCCTCAGCAAATTAAAAGAACAGAAAGTATAACAAACTGTCTCTCAGACCACAGTGCAATCAAACTAGAACTCAGGATTAAGAAACCCACTCAAAACCACTCAACCACATGGCAACTGAACAACATGCTCCTGAATGACTACTGGGTACATAACGAAATGAAGGCAGAAATAAAGATGTTCTTTGAAACCAACGAGAACAAAGACACAACATACCAGAATCTCTGAGACACATTCAAAGCAGTGTGTAGAGGGAAATTTATAGCACTAAATGCTCACAAAAGAAAGCAGGAAAGATCTAAAATTGACACCCTAACATCACAATTAAAAGAACTAGAGAAGCAAGAGCAAACACATTCAAAAGCTAGCAGAAGGCAAGAAAATAACTAAGATCAGAGCAGAACTGAAGGAAATAGAGACACAAAAAACCCTTCAAAAAATCAATGAATCCAGGAGTTGGTTTTTTGAAAAGATCAACAAAATTGATAGACCACTAGCAAGACTAATAAACAGGAAAAGAGAGAAGAATCAAATAGACACAATAAAAAATGATAAAGGGGATATCACCACCGATCCCACAGAAATACAAACTACCATCAGAGAATACTATAAACACCTCTACACAAATAAACTAGAAAATCTGGAAGAAATGGATAAATTCCTGGACACATACAGTCTCCCAAGACTAAACCAGGAAGAAGTTGAATCTCTGAAGAGACCAATAACAGGATCTGAAATTGGGGCAATAATTAATAGCTTACCAACCAAAAAAAGTCCAGGACCAGATGGATTCACAGCCGAATTCTACCAGAGGTACAAGAAGGAGCTGGTACCATTCCTTCTGAAACTATTCCAATCAACAGAAAAAGAGAGAATCCTCCCTAACTCATTTTATGAGGCCAGCATCATCCTGATACCAAAGCCTGGCAGAGACACAACAAAAAAAGAGAATTTTAGACCAATATCCCTGATGAACATCAATGCAAAAATCCTCAATAAAATACTGGCAAACCAAATCCAGCAGCACATCGAAAAGCTTATCCACCATGATCAAGTGGGCTTCATCCCTGGGATGCAAGGCTGGTTCAACATACGCAAATCAATAAACGTAATCCAGCATATAAACAGAACCAACGAGAAAAACCACATGATTATCTCAATAGATGCAGAAAAGGCCTTTGACAAAATTCAACAGCCCTTCATGCTA